>NC_000003.12:196272565-196423565 GCF_000001405.40 Homo sapiens | reverse complement strand
TCTTCCATGACCCAGCTCCACAGTTTCCCAAGGATACAGTGAAGCCAGCTGGCACCTAATGGTCAGGCAGGAGGGGAACAAGTACCCCAAGCCCCATCACAGCCAAGAAAAGAGGCACAGTGGCCAGGCCACAATCTGGAGCGGATGAGGGGGCCAGCTCCACAGAGGGTCCATTGGCCCACACAGGCACTGTCCACATGCTCCTCTCAGGGACCGGCTTGTTGGAGGGCTTGTTGCCAATGTTCTTATACGTGGTAGATACTCAGTAAATGTTTGCTGGCGTGGAAACACTTACATGTTGCGGTGACCTGCCAGTTTAGCCCACATGCCTGGCCTTCCGCCCTCCCCAGGGCAGCTGTGCCTCAGCCGCTTGTGGTAGAGATGATCCCCAGACCAGGTGGTGACTGGCCCCGCTAGGTTGGGCTGTTGTGTCCTCTGGTTATGGCTTGATCAGGCTGGCATGCAGCCAGGCGAGGACTTGGCGGGCTGGGCTGCCCATAGCCTAGTCTGTTTTTAGTCTCCTGTTTTCCAGAATGTCATGTAAGTGTAATCACAATATGTAACCTTTTGAGTCTGGCTTCTTGCTCTTAAACTATTGTGTTTGAGATTCATTCATGTTGTCATGGTTAGTAGTTCCTTCCTATTTATTGGGGAATAGTATACCATTGTATGGTTGTACTGTGGTTTGTTTATGCATTTATCAAATGAAGGACACTTTCCAGTTTGGGGACATTATAAATAAAGCTGCCAAAAACAGTCGTGTACAAGTGTGTGAATATCTTTTGATAAATACCTAGGAGTGTGTTTATTGGATCATATAATAATAGTTATATTAACTTTCTAAGAAGCTGACAAATAATTTGTGACTTTCTGGTATAGTGACTTTCCAAAGTCACTTTGGAAAGTATAGTGGCTTTGAGAGGCTGATGCGGGAGGATTGCTCTAGGCCAGGAATTTGACGCCAACCTGGACAACAAAGAGAGACCCCCACATCTGTATTAAAAAATAGTAATAAAAGAGAGTTCCAGTTGTTCTGCATTCTTTCCATCATTTGGTATTTTTAATTGTCTTTTTTTTTTTTCTTTTGAGACAAGATCTCATTCTCTTGCCCCTGGTGGAGTGCAGCCGTGTTATCATAGCTCACTGCAGCCTCAAGCTCCTGGGGTCAATAATCCTCCTGCCTCAGCCTCCTGAGTAGCTGGGACTACAGGCACACACCACCATGCCCAGCTAATTTTTAATTTTCTGTATAGATGAGGTCTCCCTGTGCTGCCTAGGTTGGTCTCAAACTCCTGCCTTGGTCTCCCACAGTGCTGGGGTTACAGGTGTGAGCCTCCACGCCTGGGCTTTTTTGTTTTTTGTTTTTGAGATGGAGTCTCACCCTGTCACCCAGGCTGGAGTGCAGTGGTGTGATCTTGATTTATTGCAGCCTCTGTCTCCTGGGTTCAAGCGATTCTCCTGCCTCACCCTCCCAAGTAGCTGGGACTACAGGCGTGCACCACCTTGCCTGGATAATTTTTGTATTTTTACTAGAGACTAGGGTTTCACCACATTGGCCAGTCTGGTCTTGAACTCCTGGCCTCAAGTGATCTGCCCGCCTCAACCTCCCAAAGTGTTGGGATTACAGGCGTGAGCTACCGTGCCTGGCCATTGTTTTTTTTAAAGCCATTTCAATAAGTGTGTAATGGTATGTCATTGTGGTCTTAATTTGCATTTCTCAGGTGACTAATGATTTGGGGCATTTTTCATGTAATAACTTACCATCTATAAATCTTTTTTTTTTTTGGTTTGAGATGGAGTCTCGCTTTGTTGCCAGGGTGGAGTGCAGTGGTGCGATCTTGGCTCACTGCAACCTCCACCTCCCAGTTTCAAGCTGTTCTCCTGCCTCAGCCTCCCAAGTAGCTGGGACTACAGGCGCCTGCCACCACACCCAGCTAATTTTTTGTATTTTTACTAGAGACTGGGGGGGGGTTTCACCATGTTGGCCAGGATGGTCTCAATCTCCTGACCTTGTAATCCACCTGCCTCAGCCTCCCAAAGTGCTGGGATTATGGGCATGAGCCACCACACCCGGCCACTATCCATAAATCTTTCAAGCCCCAACTTTTAATTATGAGATTCAACAGACATAAAATTACTCTCTCAAATTGCTGTAAACGTTTCTGAATGCTTCCACTGGAATTTGTATTTTTATCTTGTCACAGACTAGTAAGAGATAGCTGGTCTAAGGACTACCATTTGGGTAGTACTGGCCTAGGTGATGGCAGAACAGGGCCTGGAACTCTGGCATCTTGGCTCCTGGGCGCATGCATTTCCCACCATTAGCACTACTTCCTGCACCATTGGTTCCTTTTGTGAACTAATGAATGTTTGCCTTATCTGTCCCCTAACTTAGTAATTCGATTTCTCTGTACTCAGTTTTTTCTGGTATGCATTTAAAAATGTTTTCGATATTTGAAAGCTTAAAAACTCCAGGATTAGAGACTGAGGTTAAAATTTCAGCTTATTTCTCACAACTGTCATCCACTCCCATATCCTTGGCAAATAGTTTAGCTTACTTTGGTATCATTGCTGGGGAAAATGTGGAACCGAAAAGTAACCTCTTGTCCCTATCATTTCTATAGAGGGATGATGATGATTGTTTTTAAAAGTCTCTGTGACTGCTATACTTTGGTTTCTGGATGGTAGTGAAGAGATGATCACTGTCCGTCTTTTGGCACTGAGAGTAGTGTAGACAATGTGCATTAGAGTATAAACTAGGAGATAGCAGCATGAAAATGGCCATCATAAGTTGTGTGCCACAGCTGGGTTAAGGAAGGCCGTTTGGTGCCATTCAGTAGCAAGTGTAAAACAGATGGAGAGAAGGACAGATAAAGGATGTTTTAGAAGGGGGTTCATGTGGTGAGAAACAAAGTAGGACTCCTGTCATGGAGTATAGATGACTGGATTAGATTAAGCCACCCTGCTGCTGCCTACAATATCGGAGCCTCAAAATAAGTCCGTTTTTTAATTTAATTTAATTTTTTTTTTTTTTTGAGATGGAGTCTCGCTCTGTCACCCAGGCTGGAGTGCAATGGCGCAATCTTGGCTCACTGCAACCTCCACCTCCCGGGGTCAAACGATTCTTCTGCCTCAGACTCCTCAGTAGCTGGGGTTACAGGCACGCATCACCATGCCTGGCTAATTTTGTTTGTACTTACAGTAGAGACGGGGTTTCGCGGTGTTAGCTGGTCTCAAACTTCTGACTTCAGGTGATCCACCCACCTTGGCCTCCCAAAGTGCTGGGATTACAGATATGAGACACTGCACCCAGTCCCAAAAAGCCCATTTTTAACAAGTTTGCAAATAGTTTAAATCGTAAACTTGTCAAACTTGTTTTATTAGCCCCCCCTTAAAAAAAAAGGTATGTTCTTCTAACTGTAGTAAGATAGAAGTCCAAATTCTTTACAGCTGATCCATCAGAAATTGTTAAGTCCCTCTTGGGTGCATAGGTAAAATGTGGGTAAAATGTGTAACTTCACTAAACTTGTTTATCACTGTTCCCTCACTTACATCATTTAGCCCTCCTTACTTTTCCTCTTCCCTTTCAGTTAACCTTCACTTCTTCATATTCCTCTGTGTAGCTCAGTGGTAGTGTTATTGGCAATTACAGTAGGACTGTTCTATCCATTCCAGAAGTTTAATACTTTTAGTTGCCTTTGACTGCTGACAAATTACCGCAAATTGAGTGGTTTAACACAGATTTATTCTGTGATGGTTCTGGAGGCCGGAAGTCTGAAATGAAGGTTCGAGTAGTCTTTTGGAGGACGTTTTTCAGTCCACCACATCACCCCTGGCCTCTCTCCATGAAATGCCAGTAGTATCCCCGACTCCCCAGGCATGAAACACCAAAAATGGTCTCTCATGTTACTGAATGCCTCTAGTGCTTCGACACTAAGAACCACTGGAACCTTTAATTATCTTTCAGTTAGCTCCTGTTTCTGAAATGATTCACTAAGTGATACGCTAAGAACAACTGATGATACGGGAACAGATGGCTTAGCTTGGCTTTGTTTAAGAAAGTGGATGGTATACTTTGCTTCATGGGCTTCTTTCTAGCACTGGCTTTGTTCAGACTTAACCAAGATTTAGCATGTGCTTCCTTTTAAAAAATCTGCATGTGTAGTGGTACTTTCTTTGGAACGCTCTTGCAGTTCACTATCCTGACAGACTCCAAAGATGGAAGTCATCCTGTCACATTGTTTATTTATTTATTTATTTATTTATTTATTTAATTTATTTAGAGACAGGGTCTTGCTCTGTTGCCCAGGCAACAGAGTGCAGTGCAGTGGCGTGATCTTGGCTCACTGCAACCTACGCCTTCTGGGTTCAAGTGATTCTTCCACCTCGGCCTCCCTAGTAGCTGGGACGTCCCTAGTAGGTGGACGCCCGCCACCAGGCCCAGCTAATTTTGGTTATTTTTAGTAGAGATGGGGTTTCACCATGTGGGCCAGGCTGGTCTCCAACTCCTGGCCTCAAGTGATCCACCCACATCGGCCTCCCAAAGTGCTGGGATTACAGGCGTGAGCCACCGCGCTCGACCTCAGATTGTTACCAGTGGTATGGTAGCACCATCTCAGGAATATGCTCCCTAAAGGTTAGGTTCTCGCATTAAATGATTGTGTGAAGATTGTAGATAGGATGGCAAAGTAGTCTTTCCCTATCCTCTAACTCTGGACCCTGAGTGTTGACATCATGTGCCCCAAAATATTACAGTTGTTACTTCCGTTACTATGGTTTTATTTGTTGTGTCGTAATGTCATTCTCTGTAGAATCCTTTCTGTTTTAATGTTTAGCTCTATAGACCTGTGAATCTTTAGAAATTCTAGAATACATACATACTGTACTTGTATTTAGTTTTCTACTGCCTCCCTATCACCTCTCAGTGCTTCTCAGTCACACTGGAGTGCTGTTATAGATGTCTTTGAAGCAGATCCCTTTCGTGTATCATGTTGTTCTCTATGCATACCATTCACTTTTTTCTAGTGTAATAGGTTTTTGCTGTCTTCATTGTACTGCTTTTAAAAAAATGAGTGTTCAACTTGAATGAGACACATGTTCATAGCATCAGATGAGTGAGAAAAAGAAAACTGAGATGTCTTTCTCTGCCTGTTTACTGTCAAAAATGTATTTCTCCATAAGCTATATATATTCACACTTTATACTTCCATGTCATTTACGTATAGAGTACTGTAAACTTGGGACTATCTGTCCGTCATTCCGTCATTCCTTCCTTCTCTCTTTCCCTCCTTCCCTCCCTCCCTCCTTCCTTCTTTTCTTCCTTTCTTTCTTTCAATGGAGTCTTGCTGTCGCCCAGGCTGGAGTGCAGTGGCGTGATCTCGGCCCACAGCAACCTCTGCCTCCTGGGTTCCAGCGATTCTCCCACCCCAGCCTCCCGAGTAGCTGGGATTACAGGCTCCCACCATCACG
Source organism: Homo sapiens (assembly GCF_000001405.40). NCBI lineage: Eukaryota > Metazoa > Chordata > Mammalia > Primates > Hominidae > Homo > Homo sapiens. The sequence continues at coordinate 196,418,096 of NC_000003.12, read as the reverse complement.
CCCAGCTAATTTTGTATTTTTAGTAGAGACAGGGTTTCACATGTTGGTCAGGCTGGTCTTGAATTCCTGACTTCAAGTGAACCACTGTGCCTGGCCAGTCTTTATTAATAGCTAACTGCTAATTAAGAGGTATCCCAAGTTCTTTAATGTGAATTTTCTTTTCTTTTTTTTTTTTAGAGACAGGATTTTGCTCTGTCACCCAGGTTGGAGTGGTATGATCATAGCTCACAGCAGCCTCAAAACTCCTGGACTTAAGCAATCCTTCCACCTCAGCCTCCTGAGTAGCTGGGACTACAGGCATGTGCCACCACGCCTGGCTAATCTTTTTTGTAGAGATGGTTTTTTTTTTTTTTTTTTTTTTTTTTTTTTTTTAACCATTTTGCCCAGACTGGTCTCAAACTTGTGAGCTCAAGCAGTCCGTCTGCCTCGGCCTTCCAAAGTGTTGGGATTACAGTGTGAGCCACCACGCCCAGCTGAATTCTTTTAATTCATGGTAGCACTTCATGAAGTTGATAAATCCCCATTTTATAACTGAGGAAACTGATGCCTAGAGAAATTAGTATCTTACTCAGAGTCACACTAGTGAATGACAGAAGTAGAAGGTCGAACCCAGGTTTAGCTGAGTAGTTCCCAGGCTCTTATTAAATCATATCTTCTGTGCTCCTTAGCATGAGTACAGAAGGGAATTTGAAGAATATTTTCTCTTTGTTACTGGGCATAAGACAGGGCGGAGGCAAAGGTTTTTATACATTTATTTATTTATTTGATTTATTTATTTAGTTTTCGAGATGGAGTCTCGCTCTGTCTCCCAGGCTGGAGTGCAGTCGCGCGATCTCGGCTCACTGCAAGCTCCGCTGCCGGGTTCACGCCATTCTCCTGCCTCAGCCTCCCCAGCAGCTGGGACTACAAGCGCCCGCCACCACGCCCGGCTAATTTTTTGTATTTTTAGTAGAGACGGGGTTTCACCGTGTTAGCCAGGATGGTCTCGATCTCCTGACCTTGTGATCCGCCCGCCTCGGCCCCCCAAAGTTCTGGGATTACAGGCGTGAGCCGCCGCGCCTGTGTGTACATTTATTTTAACTTCTTGCTGTGTCTGTGGCTCCAGGTGTTCAGTGTCTTTTCCTGCCCTAAGTTGCCCTCACGTGGTACTGCAGGCCTTTCTTACCTCTCCCCAAAAAGGCACTTGTGACACTAAAGCTACTTACATCCCTCTTCTTCTAAATCAACACCCTTTTCCTCTGTATATCGACTCTAAATGTATTGTTACTAGCTTTTAAGAGAAGGCAATATGATTGAATTAATTTATGTTATGAAATGATTGATACATCCTTAACTCTAGTAAGTCTTCATATTTTTAAATAGAATGTTTGTTTACCCAAATTAATCTCTGAATTGGAAGTATTTTAGGTAGCATAATAACGTGGAAAAAAACTGCACTTAGGAAAAGACTTGGGCTAGGCAGACTAAAATGTTGACAGGCCTGCTTGCTTGAGGATTGACTTCACAAGTTCTGATTCTCATCAGAACCCACAAATTCTCTAAATGGTTCCCCTGGCAGTGGCATTGGAGTTCTGGTAGATGAAGGGTGGTAGAAAGGGTGGCAACAATATTTGTATGCAGTGGCATTTTTAAGTTGAATTTCCTTTTTCCTTTTTTTTTTATTTTTGAGACAGAGTCTTGCTCAATCGCCCAGGCAGGAGTGCAGTGGCGCAATTTCAGCTCACTGCAACCTCTGCCTCCTGGGTTCAAGTAATTCTCCCGCCTCAGCCTCCCGAGTAGCTGGGATTACACGCACCCACCATCGTGCCCGGGTAATTTTTGTAGAGATGGAGTTCCACCATGTTGGCCAGGCTGGTCTTGAACTCCTGGCCTCAGGTGATCCGCCCCCCGCTCAGCCTCCCACAGTGCTGGGATTACAGGCGTGAGCCACCGCACCCGGTGTAAGTTGAATTTCCTATGACCAGATAAGTTTGTGAATGAAAGTAGCCAGCATTGGTTGCTGTTATGGCAGAAGTGAGTTTCACTTCACCATCAACATGTTCTTTCTGCTTTTTTGTGGTGCTGTAATGCGGTGTGAGCACTTAGACAAGAGCCAAAATAGTGTGAACTTGGCCACTTAATTCTCTGAAAAGAAAGTTTGGTCCATACATTGAGAAGCTAGTTTTAGGGTTCATTGGGACGCAGATGTTAACAGATTGTGCATCTCTGCTAGAACAAGCAGCCGAAAGTAGTCTTCCTGTAAGAAACCTTTAATTTTTAGCTGCTGTCTAAATTAAAATGGTAGAGCACAGTAGTCACTGAACTTTTTTTTTTTTTGAGATGAAGTCTCGCTCTGTCACCAGGCTGGAGTGCAGTGGCACAATCTTGGCTCACTGCAACCTTTGACTCCCTGGTTCAAGCGATTTTCCTACCTCAGCCTCCCGAGTAGTTGGGATTACAGGCACGCGCCACCATGCCCAGCTAATTTTTTTATTTTTTATTTTTTAGTAGAGACGGGATTTCACCATGTTGGCCAGGATGGTCTTGAGCTCCTGACCTCGTGACCACCTGTCTCGGCCTCCGAAAGTGCTGGGATTACAGGTGTGAGCCACCGCACCCAGCCTGCTGAACTTGTATAGTCCAGCATTCAAGAAGTATGATAATATGGCTGGGTGCGGTGGCTCACGCCTGTAATCCCAGCACTTTGGGAGGCTGAGGCAGGCGGATCACAAGGTCAGGAGATCGAGACCATCCTAGCCAACATGGTGAAATCCCGTCTCTACTAAAAATACAAAAATTAGCTGGGAGTGGTGGCGTGCGCCTATTGTCCCAGCTCCTCGGGAGGCTGAGGCGGGAGAATCACTTGAACCCAGGAGGTGGAGGTTGCAGGGAGCCAAGATTCGCACCACTGCTTTTCAGCCTGGCAACAGAACGAGACTCTGTCTCAAAAAAAAAAAAAAAAAAGAAGTATGATAATACAACACAATGTAACTGGAGGCAATGTACAAATATTAGGGAAACACTGAAACAAAGCCTCAGGTTTTATGAGTAAGAATATGGTAGCATATGTGTCTTGAAATTGTTTATCAAATTTGTGCTGTTTTTGCCCCAAGAATTTGTATTTAGTTACATAAGGTTGGCTGTGGGGATATTAGAACTTTTCCTTTCCTTCAAAAAGTTGCATTTGTGTTTTTGTTTTGATATTTCATTTTTTAAAGTGTTTTCTGTTGGTTAGAATGTTAAATTTGTATATACTACAACTTAACTTTTGGTTCAGCTCCACTGAGAACTTAGGAAGAATGTAACTGGGATGAGAAAAGTGAGATCTGCGCTAGTTGAGTGAGCTTTTAAAGTCTGAGAGACAGAGCAGCTAGCAGAGACAAGGGTAAAGATTATGACTCAATGGAAAAGTATATATTTGTTCCTGCTTCAGAGTGAGGAGGCAGAGGAAATGTTCAGAACGTAACAGAAAGGTGGGTGTTTGGTTTGTTGTCCCAACCACTATCCAAATCATGCAAAGATAGGGTTTTATAAAGTCCTACCAAGGGAACTGCCTAGATGATGCCGGTAGGTCCATGTGGCTGAAGGGAATGGTACAGAGGTGAGATGAGAGTAGAGGGATATAACATGGGAGGGGTAAGGAACAAATCTTGTATGCAGCTTGAGATGGATTAAAACTTTTTCAATCAGCAATACAGAACTGTTGAAATAGGAAGACAGACAATTGAACTTACATTATTTTGCTGTGTCGAAGGTACATCTGGCCCTCCATATTCATGGGTTCCGTATTGGTGAATTTAGCCTGCGTATTGAAAATATTCAGGGAAAAGGCCGGGTGCAGTGGCGTATGCCTGTAAATAATCTCAGCACTTTGGGAGGCCAAGGCAGGCGGATCACCTGAGGTCAGGAGTTCAAGACCAGCCTGGCCAACATGGTGAAACCCTGTCTCTACTAAACATACAAAAATTAGCCAGGTATGGTGGTGGCAACAGAACAGCTACCTGGGAGGCTGAGGCAGGAGAATCACTTGAACCTGGGAGGCAGAGGTTGCAGTGAGCGGAGATCGTACCACTGCACTCCAGCAAAAAAGAAACAAAATATTCAGGGAAAAAGAAAACATTGTTCCATCTCTACTGAACACGTAGAGACTTTTCTGTTTGTCATTATTCTCTATAGTATAACAACTGTTTACGTTGTATTAGGTACAATGTAATAGCATTTACATTGTATTAGGTGCTATAAGTAATCTAGAGATGATTTAAAGTATAGATTGTTTGCAAATACTGTACCATTTTATATGAAGAACTTGAGCATTCTCAAATTTTGGTATCCTTGGACAGTCATGGAACCAGTGCCCCATGGATACTGGAGGGATGACTATATCAAAGGGGGCCATGAGGTGTGAGATACAGTAATTCATGTAAGAGATGTTGAGGGCTTGAACTAAGACTGTAGCAGTGGACATAGAAAAGGTTGGTTAGGAGTGGTATTAACTAGAAGGAACTATAGCTCTCTTTGGTTAACTGATGGGATGTTCACTCGGGGGAGAAAGAAGGGTCTAAGAATGTTTCTCAAATTTGAGTAATGTATGAAGCTCTTTTAAAGGAAAAACCTCCCTGGTTCTGTGTAACTTAAATTACCATATATACCTAGATAAAAGGCAGACCCCAAATGAAAGGCGATTTTCTCTAAATTTCCCAAAAAGGGTGTTTGTTTTTTCAATTTTTTAAATTGTATTAACACGTATATAACAAAATTTATCATTTTAACCTTTTTTTTGAGACAGAGTTTCGCTCTTGTTGCCCAGGCTGAAGTGCAATGGAGCAACCTCGGCTCACTGCAACCTCTGCCTCCTGGGTTCAAGCGGTTCTCCTCCCTCAGCCTGCCCAGTAGCTGGGATTACGGGTGCCCACCACCACACCTGGCTAATTTTTGTATTTTTAGTGGAGACGGGGTTTCACCATGTTGGCCAGGCTGGTCTCTAACTGACCTCAAGTGATCCGCCCACGTCGGCCTCCCAAAGTGCTGAATTACAGCCATGAGCCACCGTGCTTGGCCCATTTTAACCATTTTTCAGGGTACAGTTCAGTGGTATTAAATACATTAATAATGTGTAACCATTACCACCGTCCCTCTCTATAACTCTTTGTTTTGTAAAACTGAAACTCTATACCCATTAAACAAGAACTCCCTGTTCCTCATTCTACCTTCCTCCAGCCCCTGGCAACCATCATTCTACTTTCTGACTCGATTTTTAGTGCTCTAAATGTCTCACATAAGTAGAATCATATGGCGTTTGTAATTTTGTGACTGGCTTATTTCACTTAGCATAATGTCCTCAAGGTTCATTCATGTCCGAATTTCCTTCTTTTTCAAGGCTCCATGAGATTCCATTGTATGAATATACTACTTTTGTTTATCCATTCATGTGTTGATGTATACTTGGGTGGCTTCCATGTTTTACCTACTGTGAATAATGCTATTATGAAAGTGGGCATATAAATATATTTTTGAGACCCTGCTTTCAGTTCTCTGGGTATATCTCCAGAAGTGAAATTACTGGATCATATTCTGTTGTTAGCTTTTTGAGGAATCTCCATAGTTTTCCACCCTCGTTGTACCATTTTATATTCCCATCAAGAGTGCATGGTGGTTCCAGTTTCTCCACATGCTCACCCACACTTGTTATTTTTTGTTTTTTAATAGTAGCCTTTTTAATGGGTATAAGCTGGTACTAAAAAAAACAGTTGACCGTCAACTATTTGCGTTTCTAGAGATTTAAGTGAAATGATCAGGTGCTTTCTTTGGTAATATTTATTGATTTAACATTATTACACACGTTGTATATTCATGCTTTTTTCTTTTTTCTTTTTTTTTTTTTTTTTTTGAGACAAAGTCTCGCTCTGTCACCCAAACTGGAGTGCAGTGGTGTGATCTCAGCTCACTGTAACCTCCGCCTCCTGGATTCAAGCAATTTTCCTGCCTCAGCCTCCCTAATAGCTGGGAGCTATTAGGCACCTGCCACCACGCCTGGCTGATTTTGTATTTTTAGTAGAAGACGGGGTTTCACCCTGTTGGCCAGGCTGGTCTCGAACTCCTGAGCTCAAATGATCCACCTACCTCAGCCTCCCAAAGTGCCAGGTTTACAGGCATGAGCCACCGCACCTGGCCGGCCGCCTTTTTTCAGTCATATTTTATGAAATGAGTTTATTTGGTTGTTTTCATTTGCACCTTAAATATATATCTTTATCAGCTATCAGAAAAGGCTATAGCTACTCCATGTCATCTGCTAGTTTGTTTGTTTTTTGAGACGAAGTCTCACTCTTGTGCCCCAGGCTGGAGTGCAATGGCACGATCTTGGCTCACTGCAACCTCCGCCTCCCAGGTTAAGCGATTCTCCTGTCTCAGCCTCCCGAGTAGCTGGGATTACAGGCGCCTGCCACCACGTCCGGCTAATTTTCATATTTTTAATAGAGAAGGGGTTTCACCATATTGGTCAGGTGGACTCGAACTCCTGACCTCAGGTGATCTGCCTGCCTTGGTCTCTCAAAGTGCTGGGATTACAGATGTGAGCCACTGTGCTCGGCCATCTGCTAGTTTTTTGAAGCCTGTTATTTTCACTTCTCTTTAAATTTATCTTAAATCCATGAATCCAGCGTATCCATTTGCTATTTATTTCCACAGCATAACTGTACTGCTTTATAAATTAATTTTAAAACATAAGTATATGCACAAAGTGCAAAATTAAATTGTTATAAAAGGGTTGCCAGTGGTTTTGACTAAGGCCTACTCCCTCTCTCTAGTATGTAGCTAATGAGTTAAAGTACTATGAGATATCACTAAGTTTATCAGACATTGATCACATGCAAGCAAAGTGTGATGCCAGGTGCTGGGAGATACCAAGGCAAGAAAACCAGTTCCTCTGTTCAAGAACCTTCTATTCTTTTGGGGGAGCCAGAAAAGGAACCAGCATTTACTAGTAGTATATCCATGGATATAATAGAACATTATCACAGGGATGGGAACGGGCAGGTAGGCTAGTGCACAGATCAACAGAGTAACATTTCGGTTGATTTCAGCATGCATGAACTAGATGAGGGGACGATGGGGAGGATAAGGGCATTCTAAGCATGTAATTTAGTTTGACTATAGTAAACTGTGTAGGATGAGGAAGAAGAAAGGCAAAGCCAGAGAAATAAGCTGAGGCCTGATCACAAAGGGCTTTCCAGATCATAAAGACTTGAATTTATACTGCAGGCAGCAGAAGAAAGCCATTAAGGGATTTTTTTTTTTTTTGAGATGGAGTCTTGCTCCGTTGCCCAGGCTGGAGTGCAGTGGTGTAATCTCAGCTCACTGCAACCTCCGCCTCCCAGGTTCAAGAGATTCTCCTGCCTCAGCCTCCTGAGTAGCTGGGATTACAGGTGTGTGCTCACATGCTTGGCTAATTTTTGTATTTTTAGTAGAGATGGGGTTTCACCATCTTGGCCAGGCTGGTCTTGAACTCCTAACCTCGTGATCTGCCCACCTTGGCCTCCCAAAGTGCTGGGATTATAGGCGTGAGCCTCCGTGCCTGGCTGCCATGAAGTGATTTTAAACAGAGGGATGATATAATGAGACTTGTATTTTGGGAGATACCCTCTGCAGCAAGGTAGAAAATGGAATAATGATCAGTTAGTAGCCTATTGAAGTAATTGAGGTAAGTATTAAGGATTTGCCTTAGAGACAGTAGTACAGAAGAGAAAACAAATGAGAGACATTAAGAGTAGAGTTAGCACTTCCATTTCTTGCAGTAAGGGTAATGTAGAGTGATAACATGAGTAACCCTGCTGCTGAGAAAAAAAGTGCTGAAGAATGTATGTATTTAAAAAACATTTTTTAGGCCAAGTGTGGTGGCTCACTCCTGTAATCCCTGCACTTTGGGAGGCCAAGGCGGGTGGATCACCTGAGGTCAGGAGGTCAGGACCAGCCTGGCCAACATGGTGAAACCCTGTCTTTACTAAAAATAGAAAAATTAGCCCGGTGTGGTGGCAGGCGCCTGTAATCCCAGCCACTTGGGAGGCTGAGACAGGAGAATCGCTTGAACCCTGAAGTGGAGGTTGTAGTGAGCCAAGATCGCACCATTACACTCCAGCCTGGGTGATGAGAGTGAAACTCCGTCTCAAAAAAAAAAAAAAAAAGTTTCTTTTAAAATACATTATTGGTTAGCACCAGGCTAAAAATGAAGAATGCAGAAATTAGCTACCTTTAAAGCAGGTCTGGTGGAATCTGTCCACACTGGATGGCTTTGAACTTCCCTTTTGGTAGACTCATGGGTCACAGGAAAGAAAGCTTGGGGCCTTAGCAAGGAAAGGGGCCTGAAAGAAGGCTCCTCCCCTTCATAAAGCAGAGAGTAGGACGCTTCTACCTTGGCAGTGGGGAGGGGATGTATGGAGATGAACATCTTCACAGAGAATTTATAACAAAGATTGTTACAGTCACATTTCTCATGTGGTCTTGAAAAACCTCCAAGTCAGAAGTGTATTTAAAGTGGTCTCAGTTTGGTAGTGCCTGTGGGTGCCTTGCAAAGTCTGTCAAATCATATCCTCTTAGGAGGAAATGTACCTTCAACCCAGGCTTCAGAATTCTGTAGATTAAAATTTCAAGGCACATGACATCACAGTAAAAAAATCACAAATCACACAAAAACTGTGACACAGTGAGCAAGATCCAGCAGAAACAAGAAACAGTGACCTATAGAAACTGTAGAAAATTTATTTTTTTCCTTAGTGATTAGTGATTCCAATAAGTTGGGTTAATATGTTTGAAGAAATGAAAGATTGGAATAGTAGGAATTAAGGATCTCCAAAACATGATCAAGCAGATGAGGACGTAAACAAAAACAGAACTTCTAGTTATAAAAAATTAGCTGAAATCAAAAGCTCAGTGAGCAAGTGAAGAAACAGATTGGCACAGCTAAAGGGAGAATGTGTGAACTGGAAGATAGCATTGAAGAGATTACCCACAATGCACCATAGACAGCTCAAAGAGACAATATGCATATGAAAGAAAGGTTGAGACATAAGGGTTAGAGTGAAGAGTTGTAACATACATCTAATTGGAGTTACAGAGGAAATAAGTATGAATGGAGGGGGCGAGACAACGATCAAATATAAATCACTGGGAATTTTTCAGAATTGATAAAAGATAATCTTCAAGTGGTAGAAGTCCATTGAATTCCAAAGAGGATAAATAAAATCACCCTGACAAATCAGAGTGAAATTGCAGAAGGCTAAAGACAGAGGGTCTTAAAAGCAACTAGAAACAACAGATTGCTATAAAAACATTTTTCTTTAGTCTGGCAACTGATTTCCCAGCAGCAACAACAGAAGCCAGAGGACATTGGAATGCTGTCTTCAATATTCTGAGAGAAAATAGCTGTCAGCTTTGAAATGGAATACCCAGTAAAACTGTCAGGAATGACAGCGAAATAAAGACATTTGCAGACAAAAACTTAAGAGCATTTACCACCAAGAGAAGGAGATTCTAAGGGACATAATTCAGATAGAAGAAAAATCATCCCAAATGGAAAGCTTGAGGTGCTTTTTAGTGGCCAGAAAATGTTCAATTTACATTCTATCACTAGACATTTATGTTATTTCCAACTTTTCAATATAAACTGAAGCTATGCTGGACATGTGTATGAACATGTTTATGCATATAGTATTTTATGTAGATTTTATTTTCTTTTGACTAGAAGCCCAAATTACTGAGTCAAAAAAGGAATGAGTATTTTTGTTTCTGGAATACATGTTGTAAAATTGTTGTCTTAAAGGACCTTACCAATTTACATTTCATTTAGCAGACTCTGTTAGCTTTACTTTATTTACAAATGAGTACATTTGTAATAGGGACATTTTTAAATGATGAAGATTGACATTTCTTACCAGATTTTGACTTAGTTATGTCTTAGACAAAAAATGTTCCATCTCACTTCTTTGCCATTGGTATTAAAGATGCTTTTTTTTTTTTTTTTTTTTTTTTGAGACAGAGTCTCGCTCTGTTGCCCAGGCTGGAGTGCAGTGGCGTGACTTCGGCTCATTGCAACCTCTGCCTCCTGGGTTCAAGCAATTCTCCTACCTCAGCCTCCCAAGTAGCTGGGATTACAGGTGTGTACCACCATGCCTGGCAAATTTTTGTGTTTTTAGTAGAGACGGCATTTCACCACGTTGGTTAGGCTGGTCTCCAACTCCTGACCTCGTGATCTGCCCGCCTCAGCCTCCCAAGGTGTTGGGATTACAGGTGTGAGCCACTGCGCCCAGCCTGATGCTTTCTTTTTAACAGAAACAGAAATGCTAACTGAAATGTATTCTTTCTAACAAAGCATTTCTAACTTTCTAGAATGTAGTCTTTCATTTTTCTTTATCTTTTTTCAGCTTATTCCCAAATATATACTTTGGCCATTTAAATAAATGGCCAAAGAAATGGCCAAAAAATGCTTTATTTAGTTTTTGTTTTATTATGAAGGATGATTACTCTTTAATGCTGCTAAATTCTTTTCTAGCTCTGTATTTCACTTCAAGAATGTCTACATTTTTTTCTAGCTCTGTGTATTTCACAAGAAAGTCATTCATTCTAAAAGGGAAAAATACTATTAATTTACTTGGGAATTCTAATATGAGCTGAAGAAAGAGGCTGTCTTTTTTTTTTTTTTTTTTAACGTTTTTCCTGTCTTTTTACTGTTTCAGGTGCAAGTGAAAGTGTAGGAAAACATATGCTTGAAGCGTGCAACAATAATCTGGAAATGGCAGTCACTATGTTTTTGGATGGTGGAGGAATCGCTGAAGAGCCCAGTACCAGTTCAGCAAGTGTCTCTACTGTCAGACCACACACAGAGTATGAATTTATTATGTGTTGTCAGGAGCTATCCATTGCCTAAATTAAGTAGTTGCATTTTTATCAAAGCTAGGTCGATTCTCTGGTTTTGAAATAAATGAAAGGCTGAAAGCCTCTGAAAAAGTATGAAGTGGAAATTTTTGTAGTTACATACTTTAAATTCTTTAGAGTACTGTCTTGCTTATTTAATCCTCAAAGGAACCGTGTAGGCTCTGTGAAGTCGGGGAGATGGGGTTGGTTGGAGTGTGTGGTGGTGCTCTGCTAGGATTGGCCCGTGGCCAGCAGGGCCTGTGTGCCTCACGGCAGCAGCAAATAAACAAACACCTTATTGGATGGCATTATCAACATTTTACCAATAAGGAAGCAGAGGCATAGCCATTTCCCCAAGCTACACAGCAATTAAGTAGCAGTAGAGCCCAGTAAAGTTCAGATTTCCCAATTTTAGGTTTTTCTACATTGTCACAGAAATGTTTTGAGTTGCTATGAAAAATGCTTGAAGCTAGGCTGGGCGCGGTGGCTCATGCCTGTAATCCCGGCACTTTGGGAGGCCGAGGTGGGCTGATCACGAGGTCAGGAGGTCGAGACCAGCTTGACCAACATGGTGAAACCGTGTCTCTACTAAAAAAAAAAATACAAAAATTAGCCAGGCGTGGTGGCATGCGCCTGTAATCCCAGCTACTCGGGAGGCTGAGGCACAAGAATTGCTTGAGCCCAGGAGGCAGAGGTTGCAGTGACCAGAGATCGTGCCACTACACTCCAGCCTGGGTGACAGAGCAAGACTCTGTCTCAAAAAAATAATAAAAATAATATTGTGTAGAGTTTTTTCTGTTAATGTTGGCCATGTATTTCGCTCCCAATATAGCTCAAACTCTTAACAGAAATCAGTATGAAAACCTTAATATTTAAAAAAAAAGTCCAGGCATGGTGGCTCATGCCTGTAATTCTAGTACTTTGGGAGGCCAAGGCAGGAGGATGGCTTGAGCCCAAGAGTTTGAGACCAGCTTGGGCAATATAGCAAAACCCTGTCTCTACAAAAAATACAAAAATTAGCCGGGTGTGGTGGTACGCGACTGTAGTCCCAGCTACTTGGCAGGCTGAGATGGGAGGATCACATGAGCCTGGGAGGTTGAGGTTGCAGTGAGCCATGATTGTGCCACTGCACTCCAACCTGGATGACACAGAGTGAGGCCTCCTGTCTCAAAAAAAAAACAAAAAACAAAAAAAACACAAAAAACCACCTAATACAGAAACTTGAATAGCAAATATTCATAGTTGTTTTGGGAGAGCATATTTATCCTCATTGTATAAAACATGTTTTCTCAATTGTGTTGAAAAATAGTTTTGATAAATGAATATCTTTTCCTAATGAATTGCCCTATATATAACTTGGCTTAGATAGTTTGTATTGCTAATTGATTAACATTTGATAATGGCTCCTAATTCCTAAAGTGTGATTTTCTTTATTCACTTTTTTCTGTTCCATCCTTCCATTCTTGGTAGCTGACAGTCTTGGTACAGATACCCTCAGATAATGTAGTAATCAAGTCTTTTCGTGTAAGGACAAGTGTACTACTTAATCCACCCCTCTAATTGATGCATTTCATCAGATTAAAGTTTGTTTATAGAACAACTGAGTTGTCTGAGATTGAGACAATTATATATATATACACACACACACACACACTGTAAAGCGAGGTATAACAATAATGGAAAGTTTTGTTTAGGTAAAAGTTTTCTTTCTTTCTTTCTTTTTTTTTCTTTTCTTTTTTTTTTTTTGAGACGGAGTCTCTCTGTGTCGCCAGGCTGGAGTGCAGAGGTGTGATCTTGGCTTGCTGCAGCCTCTGCCTCCTGGGTTCAAGTGGATTCTCCTGCCTCAGCCTCCTAAGTAGCTGGGACTGCTGGTACACTCCACCACGCCCGGCTAATTTTCTTATTTTTAGTAGACATGGGGTTGCACCACGTTGACCAGGATGGTCCCGATTTCCTGACCTCGTGATCCACCTACCTCGGCCTCCCAAAGTGCTGGGATTACAGGCGTGAGCCACTGTGTGCACCAGTTTTCTTAAGATAATTAACTCTTTTTTTAAAAACACAGTCTTGCTCTGTAACTCAGACTGGAATGTAGGGGTGTGATCTCTGCTTACTGCTCTCAACTCACTGCAACCTCCTCCTCTCGGGTTCAAGCAACCTCGGCGCCTCAAGTAGCTGGGACTATAGGCGCATGCCACCACACTTGACTAATTTTTGTATTTTTTGTAAAGATGGGGTTTTGCCTTGTTGCCCAGGCTGGTCTTGAACTCCTGAGCTCAAGCGATCCACCTGCCTTGGCCTCTCAAAATGCTAGGATTGCAGGTGTGAGCCACCATGCCTGGCTGGCCTATTTCCTTTTGATGAAAGGATTGACAGAGCTTACTCTTATAGATGTGTCGTCTGTTTCTTCAGATTATCGAAATTTTGTGTGTGAGCAGTAGGAAAGGGTACTTAACATAATTTTGAATTATCCTTTTGTCACTTGGTTTATTGGAAATTTCTTTAACTGGTTGTTCTTTGATTACAGGATGTAATTATTGACAAATGAGTATTCCTACTTCATTTCATAAAGGATGTTTTGGAGTTCCAACACTTAAATGTCAAAAACAAGATCTTTAGTTAATACTGTTCAGAACACCTGAATGAAAACCATTGGCCGGGCGCGGTGGCTCACGCCTGTAATCCCAGCACTTTGGGAGGCCGAGGTGGGCGGATCACGAGGTCAGGAGATTGAGACCATCCTGGCTAACGCAGTGAAACCCCGTCTCCACTAAAAATACAAAAAATTAGCCGGGCGTGGTGGCGTGCGCCTGTAGTCCCAGCTCCTTGGGAGGCTGAGTCAGGAGAATGGCGTGAACCTGGGAGGCGGAGCTTGCAGTGAGCCGAGATCATACCACTGCACTCCAGCCTGGGCCACAGAGTGAGACTCCGTCTCAAAAAAAAAAAAAAAAAAACCATTAGGGCTAACATAAATTTATATGGAATTTGCATGCTTATATAATAATACTTATAAGCAGGAAGATAATGAATTAGGAAGTTACTATTTGCTGTGAACATTAATCAGCAAAGTTCAATAGTTGAGTTACAACTGTAAAACAAAGTAATTTTTTTTTTTCTTTTTCTTTTTTTTTTTAGAGATGGAGTCTTACTATGTTGCCAAGGTTGGTCTCCAGCTCCTGGGCTCAAGTGAGCCTCCTGCCTCCTCTCCCAAAGTACTGGGATTACAGGCATGAGCCACCATGCCCAACCTAAAATAAACTAATCTTTAAAGGCACACACCATTTTTACAGTATATCTAAATGAGTTTTTTCTTATTGGAAGAGATGGATTATCAGTAAACCCTATGAATGTAAACTTTGAAGAAAATAGGCTTTTAAAAGATGAGTAATTACTTTTTTTGTTCTGTATATTAGGATCTTTTTAGTAAATAATCCAAGATCATACCTGTTAGCCTCTTTCATAATTAGCATGAAATTCACTGCCTTTTAAAGTTTATTTTAATATGTCCTTGTGATTTAATTATTCTTTGATATAGTAGTAATGTGATATTGCTTCTATTAAGCCTATATTTTTCTGTTCATTTCTGCCTGATTTTTTGGGGGAAAATTTTTTTCTTTTTTTCTGACAGAATTTAAGGTAGGAAACTTGAGAGGGAAGGGGAAATTGTTTTTATTTCCAAACCATTTGAGCTATATATGCCAGGTACTCTTTTCCACTTGAGCTTTATGTGGAAACTATCTAAAACTCATTTATCAGCCGGATGCAGTAGCTCATGCCTGTAATCCTAGCACTTTGGAAGGCTGAGGTGGGTGGATTGCTTGAGCTCAAGAGTTTGAGACCAGCCTGGCCAACATGGCGCGACCCTGTCACTACTAAAAATATGAAAACAAATTAGCCAGGTGTGATGGTGTATGCCTGTAGTCCCAGCTGCTAGGGAGGCTGAGGCACTAGATTTGCTTTAACTCGGGAGGTGGAGGTTGCAGTGAGCCAAGATCGTGTCGGTCCACTCCAGCCTGGACGACAGAGTGAGACACTGTCTCCACCGCCCCCCCAAAAAAATAGCAACACAAAAACTTATTATTACTGTGCTTCTAAAAGTCACTACGTTAATTTGAATATATTCACAGTATTTACAGAAAGCAAACAGGTAGCAGAAAACAGTTTTCATTTTTTATTTTCCCATTTTTTTTTAATAGAGAAGAAGTTCGTGCCCCAATTCCTCAAAAGCAGGAAATACTGGTGGAACCAGAACCATTATTTGGTGGTAAGTTCACTTTTTTCCCTTAGCCTTATTTGATTTTGTTCTTTAGGATTTTAATGAAACCATCAAAAGATGTGAAGGCTTGCTAGGAGACTGTTAGAAGTGTGGTGTCATTTCTTATTTTTTCTATAGTCCTGTCAAGAAAGTTGCACAGTTGACTCACAAAGAGTGAAGCAGATGTTAAAAATTGATATTTGTTGGAAAATGCCAAAAGGAGGGACGTTAGCAAAAAGAATTACTGCCTTGTAATGGGAATGAATAATGAAAAGATTCTGATTATTTTTATTTTCTGGATACCTACTTGACTGCCATATCCTTACTCTCTAGATATGCCTTACCTTCTCTCTTAGTTTGTAGAAGTGCTGTTCCTCATGTGGATGAAGGGCACAGTAACCCCTCATTCATGTGAAAAATTGTGATATGAATCTGGATAGAGACTGGCGATAGAGAATGGGACATTTAATCAGATTAATTTATCGTTAAGCATTTATTTCCCTTTTGTAAGCCAAAGAGTTTGTGTTAATCATGAGTTTATATAGAAAAAAATACAAGATGGAATTACAATCTGCTTGGGCAGACCAAGACAGAAAACTGTATATAGTATATATTGAGAACAGTTAATGCAGAGAAATACTTTGTGTTGAGGTGGCTCACACCTGTAATCCCAACACTTTGGGAGGCTGAGGTGGGCAGATCACTCGAGGCCGGGAGTTCAAGACCAGCCTAGCCAACATGTCAAAATCCCATCTCTACTAAAAGTACAAAAATTAGCTAGGCATGGCAGCACATGCCTGTAATCCCAGCTACTTAGGAGGCTGAGGCATGAGAATTGCTTAAACCGGGAGGCTGAGGTTGCAGTGAGCCGAGATACTGCCACTGCACTCCAGTCTGGGCAGCAGAGTAAGACTCTCTCTCAAAATAAATAAATAAATACAATTGAGTACAAGAGACATACAAATTTTTTTCCCTCCAACTTTTATTTTAGGTTTGGGGTACATGTGCAGGTTTGTTACATGGGTAAATTGCATGTTGCGTGGGTTTGGTGTACAGATTATCACCTAGGTAATGAGCGTAGTACCCAATAGGTAGTTTTTCTTCTCTTCTCTTCTCTTCTCTTCTCTTCTCTTCTCTCTTCTCTTTTCTTTTCTTTCTTTCCTTTCTTTACTTTTTTTTTTTTTTTTTTTTTAAAATAGAGATGGAGTCTTGCTATGTTGCCCAGGCTGGTCCCAAACTCCTGGGCTCAAGCGATCCTCTGGCCTCAACCTCCCAAAGTGCTGGGATTACGGGAGCGAGCCACCACGCCTGGCTTATAGGTATTTTTTTCAATCCTCGCCCTCCACCCTCAACCAGGCCCTGGTGTCTGTTCCCTTCTTTGTGTCTGTTTGTACTCAGCTCTCTCTTATGAGAACGTCCGGTATTTGGCTTTCTGTTCCTGCATTAATTCACTTAGGATAATACATACATAGCCTTCATCGGTAAACTAAGAGGAGGAAATATACGTTGTAACAAAAGGATGAATAAAATTATATGTATGTCTTTTGATAAAGTACTTTAGTTGAGAGTTTTTATGAGATAAACCTTTTTATTTATTTTTTTAATTTTTATTTTTTGTATATATGTGTATATATATATATGTGTGTGTGTGTGTGTGTGTGTATATATATATATATATATATATATTTTTTTTTTTTTTTTTTTTTTTTTTTGGAGAGACGGGGTTTCTCCATGTTAGTCAGGCTGATCTTGAACTCCCGAGCTCAGGTGAGCCGCCCGCCTCGGCCTCCCAAAGTGCTGGGATTACAGGCATGAGCCACCATACCCGGCCGAGATAAATGTTTTTAACTTGGCAGCTTTGGTGTTTATTATAGCAAGAAACAAAAGAATATACTGTCTAGATTTGGAAATAAAAGGCAAGAGGAAAGCTGTAAAGTCTGAATACTGTAGTGTAATGAAGTGCTTTCTGGACTGCTCACTGCAGATAGTCATTATGCTGTTAATATACCATATTGCTCATAATTTTAAAAATATAAATGCTAGGAATAGATTTGGAGCAAAAGAGTAATGCCCTTGGAAGCTTTATCTTCTCTTTATTGCAAGGAATAATACAGCGTCTTTGTAGGACTATAGGAAGTAAATTCTGTGCTGTATTGCTTTTGAACAGAGGCAGAAGAATTCCATTTGGAAGCCCCACTTTACTCTTTTTTTTTTCTTTTGTTTTGCAGAAATGGAGTCTGTTGCCCAGGCTGGAGTGCAGTGATACAATCCTTGCTTACTGCAGTCTCAAACTCCTGGGCTCAAGGATTCCTCCCACCTCAGCCTTCTATAGGTGCATGCCACCACGCCTGGCTAATTGTTTTGTTTTGTGGAGACAGGGCATTGCTGTTTGCCCTGGCTGCTATGGAACTGATCTCAAGCAAGCTTCCTGCCTGCCTTGGCCTTGGCCTTGGCCCATATTGGAGTTACGGGCGTGAGCCACCACACCTGGCCGCTTTCTTCCTTTTTTTATCTCTGAATTGGTGTACAGTAAGGACGACACTGAGAATGACTTTTTACAGTTAGGAAGTCATTCTTACCTTTCATTATTAGACGTTATAACTTGAAATGGGTCTTTAGAAACTATTTTCTTAAGACAGTATTGATTTAAATCACAGTTCAGGTGTGGGCTCAGGTCCCTAATATTCCCTTTCAGGTTGTCTGTAAAGTTAAAACAACTTACGTAATAATACTAAGGGTTTTTTTTTTTTCCCAAGATGGGGTCTTGCTGTGTTGCCCCAGGCTGGAGTGCAGTGGTTGCTCACAGGCGTGATCCCACTAGTGATCAGCACAGGAGTTTTGACCTCTGTTTCCAACCTGGGCCAGTTCACCCCTCCTTAGGTAACCTGGTGGTCCCCCTACTTCCGGGAGGTAATTATATTGATGTCGAGCTTAGTGTAGACACCTGACTGGCATAGCACACTACAGGCCAGAACTCTTAGGCTCAGGTGATCTTCTTATCTCAGCCTCCTAAGTAGCTGGGATTATAGGCATGCACCATTATACTGGACATCAAATTATTTTCATTGTGGTGACATTTAGACTGATAGTTCAGAAACAATGATGAGTCAGACTGCTGGCATCTTGGTTGAATTCATGTGGTGGCTTCAGGCTGTATCACTAGATAGTGAATTCTTCACTGCTGCATATTTGAAGTTTACAAAAAAAATCTAAAAGGCAGGGCCAGGTGCAGTGGCTCATGCTTGTAATCCCAGTCCTTTGGGAGGCCACAGTTGAACAGATCACTTGCAACCAGGAGTTGGAGAGTAGCCCAGACAACATAGGAAGACTCTTATCTCTACAAAAAATAAAAATAAATTCGTTAGGCATGGTGGCACGTGCCTGTAGTCCTAGTTACTTGGGAGTCTGAGGTGGGAGGATCGCTTGAGCTTGGGAGTTCTAGGCTGCAGTGAACTATGATCATGCCACTGCACTGCAGCCTGTATAACAGAGTGAGGCCCTGTCTATAAAAGAAACATAAATAGGACAGTTGCAGTGGCTTACACCTGTAATCTCAACACTTTGGGAGGCTGAGGCGGGAGGATTGCTTGAGCCCAGGAGTTTGAGACCAGCCTGGGCAACGTATTGAGACCCCAACTCAAAAAAAAATAATAAATTAATTTAAAAGCAGTTTTCTTTAATAATGTTCTTGATGAAGCAATAAAAATGATTAATTTCATTAAATCCTGATCCTTGAGTACACAGTTTTAAAATATTGTTTGAAATAGGATGTATGCACAAAGCACTTTGGCATAATGAAGTACTATGATTACCTTAAGGAAAAGCACTTGTGTGATTGTTAGAGTAGCGAGCTGAAGTAGGCAGCTTTTTTCATGGAACATTCTTTTTACTTGAAAAATCGCTGACAGACTATCAGTTTACACTTTGACAGTTGGCATTTTCTTGAAAATGTGAGCTTGTTACTTCAATACAACTGAGAGTGTTTGTTATCAGTGATTTTAAAAAAGAGGTTTGGCCGGACGTGGTGACTCACACCTGTAATCCGAACACTTTGGGATTACTTTCGGAGGCTGAGGCGGGAGGATTGTTTGAGCCTGGGAGTTCCACACCAGCCTGGGCTACATAGGGAGACCCCCATCTCTACAAAAAATTAAGAAAAAAATGAGCTGGGTGTGGTGGCACATGCCTGTAGTCCCAGCTACTCAGGAGGCCGAGGGGTGAGAAGATGGATTGAGCCTGGGAGGTCAAGGCATGAGCCATGATTGCACCACTGCACTTCAGCCTACTGATGACAGACCTCATCTCAAAAACAATGATAAATTACAAAAGAGCTTTCAGGCAAAAAACAGGATTTTAGAAAATTTTTTGTACCCACCTTTGTGAGCTTGATACTTTCCCAGTACTTGAAGGCTTTCTGATAAGATCAGTGGTGACATGAAACAGATGATTTTTAAAATACTGTGTAATGAAACCATTAATATTTGAAATGTTTGCATTACTCAGTAAACAAGTATTTTTGAATAACCAATGCATGATACTACAAAATTGTGCATAGGTAAAAGATCCATTCAGACTGCGAGATGAATTGTATTAGATATTTATTGCTGAGTGAAAAATTGTTCCAAAATTAAACTGCCTGAAAAAAACAAACGTTTGTTATCTCAGTTTCTTTGGGTCAGCAATCTGGGTGTGGCCTTTGGTTAGGGTCTCCTACAAAGGTGTGGTCAACATGTCAGCTAGGCTACCATTCATCTCAAAGCCTGAATGGAGGAGGATCTCCTAAACTCATTCATGTGGCTATTGCCTGGGGGCATCCATTCTTAACACAGAGCAAATGAGAGAGCCAGAGAGGGCAGCCCAAAACGGAAGCCACTGTCTTTTTGTAACGTAATCTGGAAGTGAAATCCCATCATGTCTGCCACATTCTGTTCAATCCTGCCTGTACTCAAGGTATTCACCCACAGGTTATCAATACTGGGAGACAGGGAAAATTGGGGGCTGTCTTAGACACTGCCTACCACATAGTACAGTGGGTTTTAATGAAACAGTATGAAAAACTCATTGATAAGATTTCAGATTCCACTTTGCAGCTGTCCTCTAAGAAACTACCATTGGTTAAGTATTGGTGTACTGTTAAAGAGGAATATCCACAATCATCTAAGACTTTAAAACACTCCTCCCTGCTGGGTATGGTGGCACAGACATGTAGTCTCAGCTACTCTGGAGGCTGAGGCGGGAGTATGGCTTGAGCCCCAGGAGTTCTTGGCTGTAGGGCCCTATGCTGATTGGGTGTCTGCACTAAGTTCGGAATCAATATGGTGACCTGCCAGCAGTGGAGGACACCAGATGACCTAAGGAAGAGGAAACGGAGCAGGTGCAGATCAGTAGTGGGATTGTGCCTGTGAATAGCCACTGCCCTTCAGCCTGGGCAACATAGTGAGACCCCCATCTTTTAAAACAAAAAGCCCACTACTCCCTTTTACAACTGCGTGTCTGCGTGAGAGTAAATTTTAGTTTTCTTTCTATACTTGAACTAAAAGAATAGCAGCAGATCTAAAGGAATGCAGAAGCAGATCTGAAGATCCAGATGTCTTCTCTGAAGCCAAATACGAACAGATATGTGGACATGTAAAACAGTGCCACTCTTCTCACTACATTTTTTCTCCACCTGTCCCTCCCCTATGCTGACTTTGAAGCTCCTGAATTTCTTTTAGCTCTTTATAGCTTAGTCTCTTTGGCTTCAGTGACCAGTACTTCTATTATGTGGGCAGTAGAGTGAGGACAGAGGACTGATGTTTCCTTGTGGCAGACGGCTTGGAAGAGCCAGGAGACCACATTGAAAAGGCAGGTAGCAGTAATAGTCTTAGGGCTAGAGGTGGTGTGGTCTGAGGAGAGGTTTTTGCTTAGAAATAGGGTAAACGAAGGGAAGACAAATGGGAAGAGGGTTATTAGCCCAAGAAGTAAAAGGAATTGGGTAGAAGGATAGCAATAAGAGGAACTAGTGAGTATACGGAGATCAGTCCCTTATAGAGAAGGGGGAGGTTGGAAAGGTGATGTGGAATATTGACTAACCTATCTTTGGCAGTTTAAAAGTAGAAGAAAATTACCTTTTATGTGCTACCTTCCTAAAATAATATACTTTCTTAGGCAGCTATTCTTATTCTAAGACATCCTTGGTTTTTATTTTTTATTTTTTTTGAGATGGAGTCTCGCTCTGTGGCCCAGGCTGGAGTGCAGTGGTGCGATCTCAGCTCACTGCAAGCTCCACCTCCTGGGTTCACGCTGTTCTCCTGCCTCAGCCTCCCGAGTAGCTGGGACTACAGGTACCCGCCACCACGCCTGACTAATTTTTTCTATTTTTTAGTAGAGATGGGGTTTCACCGTGTTAGCCAGTATGGTCTCAATCTCCCGACCTCGTGATCCACCCACCTCGGTCTCCCAAAGTGCTGGGATTACAGGCGTGAGCTACCATGCCCAGCCTCCAGCCAGTTTCTTAATTGTTACAGTTAAAAAGTTTCAGATATCTAGTTATTTTTAAAAAGTTAATTTTTTTTTTTTTTTTTTAAGAGACAGGGTGTCAGTATGTTGCACAGACTGTACTCGAACTCCTTGGCTCAAGCGATCCTCTCACATCAGCCACCTGGGCAGCTGGGACTATAGGCGCACATCACTGCACCAGGGCCAGATAACTAGTTTTAGAGGCATTCTTTGGCAGGCTATATTATTCCTGCTAGAGGCCATGTACATTTGAAATAGGAGCTCTTGATCAAAAATAGTTCTAAGATTGAAAAGTATGACATTTCTTGCTTTTTCTTGAATAGAAATGAAGAAAGGAGGGAGGGAGGAAGGTAGAGAGCGACACAGGGTGCAATATTTAAATTAAAAATAAAATTCAGGCCAGGCTCAGTAGCTCACTCCTGTAATTCCAGCACTTTTGGTAGCCGAGGCGGGTGGATCACTTGAGGTCAGGAGTTTGAGACCAGCCTGGCCAACATGGTGAAACCCCCTCCCTACTAAAAATACAAAAATTGGCTGGGCGTGGTGGCACATGCCTGTTGTCCCACGTACTAGGGAGGCTGAGGCAGGAGAATGCCTTGAACCTGGGAGGCGGAGGTCACAGTGAGCTGAGATCATGCCACTGCACTCCAGCCTGGGCAACAGAGTGAGACTCTGTCGCAATAAATAAATAAATTAATTAATTCAGGCTGGGCATGGTGGCTGGTGCCTGTAATCCCAGCACTTTGGGAGGATGAGATGGGAGGATTCCTTGAGCCCAGGAGTTCCAAACTAGCCTGGGCGATATAGTGACATGCCCGTCTCTTAAAAAAACAAACAAACAAACAAACAAAAAAACTGAACATGGTGCTGCACACTTGTAGTCCCAGCTGCTTGGGAGGCTAAGGCAGGAGGATGGCTTGAGCCTAGGAGGATGGAGTCTGCAGTGAGCCATGATCACACCACTGCACTCCAGCTGGGCAACAGAGTGAGACACTGTCTCAAAAAAAAATAAAATAAAACATGACAGTGTATTACAAAATCTCTTTTCCCAGAGATGATAGTGTGATTGTTTAACATAAAAACATACACATATACACAGGAATGATATGCATATGAATATATGTTTTAAACAAAAATGAAGTTTTTAATATGTTGTGCATTTTTTTGTTGCTTTGTTTTGCCTTTTACTCGGTAGTTCTGGATATAAAGAATTATCCTATGTAATCACAAACACGAGTTATTGGGAAAGATGTTTTGACACGCGTTAAGGGGATTCTGTAGTCTCTGTCTAATCTTGATACTAATCATTTATTAACAGATAATTATTCTGGTTACATGCTGGCCAGCCTTGCCATAAGCCAACTTAGTTACTTA
Organism: Homo sapiens; assembly: GCF_000001405.40. NCBI lineage: Eukaryota > Metazoa > Chordata > Mammalia > Primates > Hominidae > Homo > Homo sapiens. The sequence continues at coordinate 196,395,088 of NC_000003.12, read as the reverse complement.
CCCATATTGAGGGAATCATGAAAAGCCTTTATTTATTGTAATGTACATAAATGATCTGGTAATTTGTTTAGGTTTAAGAACACATAGATATAGGAAGATAACATTTTGATTCTAGCATTCTACACCTTATCTGTAAAATACTTAAAGACTGGGTAATAGACACTCTACAGGGGTAGTGGAATACCTTAGGTGGATCTGTTTACTTTTCTGTCATTAAACCATTGTGTAACTGTGAAAAAAGTTTCCAGAATTAAAGATGTTTTTTGTCTTTATGGTTCTGCACGTGGGTCCAATCCAATCCCTAAGAAATAGTCCTTAAGTCTTATGGTTTAGAATGTAGAGTTACTCTATACAACAGGGCTAACCTGAATTGGATATCTGCAGCATGTGTGTGGCTTCATCTCTACGTGGCATCATCCTCAAAATCTTCTTTCTTCCTGATATCACCACTTGGATATTAAGATAGTAAACTTTTTTTTTTTTTTGAGACGGAGTTTCACTCTTCTTGCCCAGGCTGGAGTGCAGTGGCGTGATCTTGGCTCGCTGCAACCTCCACCTCCCAGGTTCAAGTGATTCTCCTGCCTCAGCTTCCCAAGTAGCTAGGATTACAGGTGCGTGCCACCACACCTGGCTAGTTTTTTTGTATTTTTATTAGAGACAGGGTTTCATTATGTTAATCAGGCTGGTCTTGAACTCGACTTCAGGTGATCCACCTGCCTTGGCTTCCCAAAATGCTGGGATTACAGGAGGTGTGAGCTACAGTGCCTGGCCAGGATAGTAAACTTTTTTTTTTTTTTTTTTTGAGATGGAGTTTCGCTCTTGTTGCCCAGGCTGGAGTGCAATGGCAGTCTTGGCTTACTGCAACCTCTGTCTCCTAGGTTCAAGTGATTCTCCTGCCTCAGCCTCCCAAGTAGCTGGGATTACAGGCATGCACCATCACGCCTGGCTAATTTTTTGTATTTAGTAGAGACAGGGGCTCACCATGTTGGTCAGGCTGGTCTCAAACTCCTGACCTCAGGTGATCCACCCACCTTGGCCTCCCAAAGTGCTGGGATTACAGGCATGAGCCACCATGCCCAGCCGATAGTAAACTTTTTACACAAGTTTGATTAAGTCTATTGTAACTGGGCCTGAATTTTCTCATTTGTAATACAAGATGACTGGATGGAAGATGTTTGGATTAATTATACATGAATGATTTGAAAGTTTTTAAACTTTTTTATTTTTTGAGGGAAGGCACCATATGAATCTTGAGTGTTTTAAAACAAGAAATACTGTGCTCGCTGCGGCAGCACATTTACTAAAATTGGAACGAGACAGAGATTAGCACGGCCCCTGTGCAAGGGTGACATGCAGTTCGTGAAGGGTTTCATATGTTTTATTAAAAAAATACTTTTAGATAAGGACATTTTTAGAATTGTTTCAAAATTAATTTAAAAAATTTTCAATTCTATTTTTTCTCCCCAAAGCTCCTAAAAGACGACGGCCTGCACGTTCAATTTTTGATGGTTTCCGGGATTTTCAGACTGAAACTAGTAGGTATCTATGGACCAGTTTATCATCTCCCTCTTCTCTTCCTATTAAAAAGACAAAGATGATTACTATTAGGCCCAATTACTTTTAAGTTTTCACCTTCTTTAAAAAGTGAAATTATGGATCCAGAATGTGATTAATTCTCCCCTGAGCTAAATTGTTCCAAATTCTAACCTATTTGGTTATAGAAAAATAGTAAAGGAGATGGAGATAATGTAGGAAATATGGTAATTGATAAACTTAATTCGCTTGTGAATAAACACTTAAAATGCTTACTATAATAAAATAAACTGATTTCCCTCAGGATCCTGACTTCTGTCAATGAAAGGAATATATAATGAAAATGGTTATTATAAGAGATTGAAAAATAGGAGGAAAAGCCATGCCACCCAAAGCAGCCACTATTAATATTTTGGCTACAGTTATTTGAAATATTTTTGTGTAATAAATTAGAATGAGAATCTTGGTCTTATGCTTTTAGAGGATTTAGTATTGATTTAGCAATGGAATCCTAAAGAAAGGACAGTTAGGTTAGGATATATGAGAAACCCTTGGACCATGCTTGATTTTGTAGTTTATTTAGAATGAGTTCATTGAGGCACAGATAGGTCTTGTGACTTTGGAGAGAATTGATGGGGAACCTAAACTGACTCAAGTCATCTAGGGAATCCTGTGTCCTTCCAGTGGAAGGTGACAACAGTGGTCATCATCTCTACTGTCATAATCTTTTTTTTATTATTACTATTTATTTTTGAGATGGAGTCTCGCTCTGTCACCCAGGCTGGAGTGCAGTGGCATGATCTCAGCTTACTGCAACCTTCACCTCTCAGGTTCAAACGATTCTCCTGCCTCAGCCTCCCAAGTAGCTGGGACTACAGGCTTGTGCCACCACACCCGGCTAAGTTTTGTATTTTTAGTAGAGATGAGGTTTCACCATGTTGCCCAGGCTGGCCTTGAACTCCTGACCTCAGGTGATCCGCACATCTCAGCCTCCCATAGTGCTGGGACTACAGGCATGCGCCACTACACCTGGCTAATTTTTTTTTTTTGAGATGGAGTCTCACACTCTGTTGCCCAGGCTGGAGTGCAGTGGCGCGATCTCTGCTCACTGCAACCTCTGCCTCCAGGGTTCAGGCTATTCTCCTGCCTCAGCCTCCCGAGTAGCTGGGATTACAGGCATGCTCCACCATGCCCGGCTTTTTTTTTTTGTATTTTTAGTTGAAACGGGGTTTCACCATCTTGGCCAGGCTGATCTCAAACTCCTGACCTCAGGTGATCTGCTGACCTCGGCCATCCAAAGTTCTAGAATTATAGACATGAGCCACCGCACTCAGCCTCTCCCATGTTACAGTTAGTTTCTGAATATGTGAAGAGGTTACTTTGATTAAGTGAATATTTTCAGTTAATTTTCTTTGTATCCTTGGGATAGGGAATACCACCAAGTCTTAAGATTCCTCTTATCTCCCTTTGCATTTTTTTTTTTCAGAGTCAACATTAGATCTTTGTATTTGAGGTCAAGCATATTGACAGCAATTCCTTCAATTGACAGAAGTTTGTGTTTTTTTTTTTTTTTTTTTCAGTGTGATTCATGATTATGGCTAACTGAAACTTTCATCCTTCTGTATTATAGTTCGGCAAGAACAAGAATTAAGAAATGGAGGAGCTATCGATAAGAAATTAACTACCCTTGCAGATCTATTCCGGCCACCCATTGATTTGATGCATAAAGGCAGCTTTGAAACAGTAAGTTGTTGGAGAGTCAGTGCCTTAACTATGAATCCTTTTGCATTTTCAATGCCTTTTTTTAAAAAATTACTTGTTTTAGAGCAGGTCTCGCTCTGTCGTCCAGGCTGGACTGCAGTGACACAATCATAGCTCACTGCAGCCTTGAACTCTTGGGCTCAAGGGATCCTCCTACCTCAGCTTCCCGAGTAGCTAGGGCTATAGGCATGTGCCACCACACTCAGCTAATTAAAAAAATTTTTTTGGTAGAGACAGGGTCTCACTGTGTCGCCCAGGCTGGTCTCGAATGCCTAGGTTCAAGCAATCCTCTTGCCTCAGCCTCCCAAACTGCTTGGATTATAGGTGTGAGCCACTGCACCTGGCCTTCAGTGGCATTTTTTATTTTTATAAGAACAAAAAACCATTGTCAGTGTATAGGGAATTGGCATTATAATAAGTATATCTACATGATATGCCTAAAGGTTACATTGATTTATATTTCTACCAGCAATATATGAAATATATTTCTACCAGCAGTATATGAGATTGATGAAATCCTTTTATTAGCCTTGTGCGGTGTCATTTTAGAATCTTTGCCATTTTGATAGCTTTTTAAAATATCTCACTTGTTCATATATCTTTGACTACTACTGAGAATAGTGTGTGTGGTTTGTTAGCCATTTGTAAATTGTTGATAGGTGTCTTTTGTCTATATTTCTGTGCGGATCGTAATGTGTTTGAAAAGAATATCTCTAATTGGAGAACACATTCACCCTCAGTTCTTCTTGGTTTTATCGTGACTAAACCCAAACAAAAACTTTCCAGAGTATGTTTACTTGGTTGTATGCTAACTTACAGACTTACTTAGGGCAGAGGAAAGATCATTCTTTTTAATAATCCTTGGGACCCATTCTCTTGCATTAGGAGGAACACATATGTTAAATGAAGGAGTTTAGTAAAGATTTTAGATACTCTTCTGTTGAGGTGTTCAAACAGCTTGCCTTTTCGTGTTGATTAACATGTTAATGCTCTTTTGAATTACAATAGCATTTCCATAGATGTAAATCAGTTACATTTCAGTTGAGTCTTTTTTTTTTTTTTTTCCTTGAGATGGAGTCTCGCCGGAGTGCAGTGGCACGATCTCAGCTCACTGCAACCTCCGCCTCCCAGGTTCAAGTAATTCTCCTGCCTCAGCCTCCTGAGTAGCTGGGAAAACAGGTGCGCACCACCACGCCTGGCTAATTTTTTGTATTTTTAGTAGAGACGGGGTTTCACCATATTGGCCAGGCTGGTCTCAAACTCCTGACCTCATGATCTGCCCACCTCAGCCTCCCACAGTGCTGGGATTACAGGCGTGAGCCACCGCGCCCAGCCTTCAGTTAAGTCTTACCTGTTAGGACCCTGTAGGCCAAAGAATAACTGCAAGAATGATGTGTATCAAGCCCAACAGGTGCCCCAAACTAACTACTACTTGGGAGGCTGAGGTGGGAGGATCCCTTGAGTTCAGGAGTTTGAGGCTGTGGTGTGTGATGATCATGCCTATGAAAACCACTGCACTCCAGCCTGGGCAACATAGTGAGACCCTATCTTTCCCTTTTCTTTGTCTTTTTTTTTTGAGACAGGTTCTCATTCTGTCACCTGGGATGGAGTGCAGTGGCAAAATCATGGCTCACTGCAGCCTCCAACTTATGGTCTCAATTGATCCCCTGGTCTTAACCTCCCAAATAAGTAGGGCTACAGACACCCACTACCACACCTGGCCAATTTTAAAAATATTTTGTGGAGAGGGGGTCTTGCTGTGTTCCCCAGGCTGGTCTCAAATTCCTGGTGTCAAGTGATCCTTCTGCCTTGGTTCCCAAAGTGCTGGGATTACAGGCATGAGCTGAAACCCCATTTCTTAAAATAAACAACCGATGTATATCAGCTGCATATTTGAATATGTTATGATTATTTTTTTTTAAATGTGTCCTTTGATATACTTTTACACTGTCATACATGAAGTATTTAGGAGAAGGAATTTCAATGTAAGCTTGTGTGTTAGTTTGCTTGCATTGCTAGAAAGGAATCCCTGAGACTGGGCAATTTATAAAGAAAAAGGTATATTTTGACTCAACGTTTCTACAGGCTGTATAGAAAGCATTGTGCTGACATCTGCTTCTGGTGAGGCCTCAGGAAGCTTGCAGTCATGGCAGAAGGCAAAGGGGAAGCCGGTGTAGCACATGGTGCGAGGAGCAAGGGGTCAAGCCATTCACTAGGGGTCTGCCCCCATGACCCAAACACCACCTACGAGGCCCCACCCCCAACACTGGGGATTACATTTCAGTGTGAGATTTGGAGGGGACAAATTTCCAAACCATATCAGCGTGCTCTCCAGTTTCAATTTTCTGAATCAGAAAACCTTGAAAGTGGTTTGGCTGCATGTAACAGAAAACCCAAATGATGATAATTTGACCAAACAATGCTTTCTTTTTGTCAGTAATAAGCCTAGAGTTGAAGAAATTATTGCTGTTCATTCATAAGCTCAAAGATGTCAGGTTAGATGTCTCCTCAGTTTTCTTCATCTTTCCTTCATGGTCTCAACATGGCAGCTGCCTATCCTTTCTAGTATTCTGGTGATACTACAGCCATTGAGAGAGAGAATAGCAGCAATATTAAAGGCAGAAAAGGATCTTAGTTTGTTTTGGCACGTGTTCTATTTTTATTAGCTTATGAGTTGCTCTAGGACGTAATGCAGTAACTAAGCTTGATTTAGTTTGGTCACTTTGGAGTGAAAAAGCAGTTACTTTTCTGCTTGGTCATTAAGGGAAAATACGAATCTCTTTTGATGTTGTCCCCTGAAATTTAAGTTATATCACCTTTTTTGCCTTGTATTTCATGGCCTGTGTTTACAGCAGTCCATTTTTTTTTTCACTGATAATATTATACTTAACCATCTGCAAGACTTTAAATGAAATAAATATTCCCTTCCAAAAGCAGGTATTTCATTATGGTTAATGATACATGTATTAGTTTTATAACAATTAGGGAGATAACAAGCAAAATTAAGTCATTGAAGTTTAGAAAGATAAATGTTAAAAATTAGAGGGATACTCTTTGGCTGACCAAGGAGGGCCCATAGGTTTGTTCCTCATATTAGATGTAAATGTGAGCCACAGTTTTACAGGCTTAGAAGCTAGTGTAACTAGAGGTAGGTCATGTTCAAGGATTCTTTCTGGCTCATGCTAACCAGATGAGAGAGACTGATTAATTCACTTGTTCACTCAATACATATTTATTGAGGCCTTGTGTTGCAGGACCTAGTTCTAGGTGATCAAGAGTAAGGGTTTGACTGCATGTGAGAGAGACTGGAAAAAAAAAAAACAAACAGTAGCTTATTTATTTCTTTTATTATACTTTAAGTTCTAGGGTACATGCGCATAACATGCAGGTTTGATACATAGGTATACATGTGCCATGTTGGTTTGCTGCACCCATCAACTCATTTACATTAGGTATTTCTCCTAATGCTATCCCTCCCCCAGCCCCCCAGCCCCCCAGCCCCCGACAGGCCCCAGTGTGTGATGTTCCCTGCCCTGTATCCAAGTGATCTCATTGTTCAATACCCACCTGTGAGTGAGATCATGTGGTGTTTGGTTTTCTGTCCTTGTGATAGTTGGCTGAGAATGATGGTTTCCAGCTTCATCCATGTCCCTGCAAAGGACATGAACTCATCCTTTTTTATGGCTGCATAGTATTCCATGTTGTATATGTGCCACATTTTCTTAATGCAGTCTATCATTGATGGACATTTGGGTTGGTTCCAAGTCTTTGCTGTTGTGAATAGTGCTGCAATAAACATACGTGTGCATGTGTCTTTATAGCAGCATGATTTATAATCCTTTGGGTATATACCCAGTAATAGGATTGCTGGGTCAAATGGTAATTCTAGTTCTAGATCCTTGAGGAATCGCCACACTGTCTTCCACAATGGTTGAACTAATTTACACTCCCACCAACAGTGTAAAAGCGTCCCTATTTCTCTACATCCTCTCCAGCATCTGTTGTTTCCTGACTTTTTAATGATTGCCATTCTAACTGGCATGAGATGGTATCTCATTGTGGTTTTGATTTGTATTTCTCTGATGACCAGTGATGATGAGCATTTTTTCATGTGTCTGTTCGCTGCATAGATAGATGTCTTCTTTTGAGAAGTGTCTGTTCATATCCTTTGCCCACTTTTCGATGGGGTTGTTTGTTTTTTTCTTGTAAATTTGTTTGAGTTCTTTGTAGATTCTGGATATTAGCCTTTTGTCAGATGGGTAGATTGCAAAAATTTTTTCCCATTCTGTAGGTTGCCTGTTCACTCTAATGGTAGTTTCTTTTGCCATGCAGAAGCTCTTTAGTTTAATTAGATCCCATTTGTCTATTTTGGCTTTTGTTGCCATTGCTATTGGTGTTTTAGTTGTGAAGTCTTTGCCCATGCCTGTGTCCTGAATGGTATTGCCTAGGTTTTCTTCTAGGGTTTTTATGGTTTTAGGTCTAACATTTAAGTCTTTAATCCATCTTGAATTAATTTTTGTATAAGGTGTAAGGAAGGGATCCAGTTTCAGCTTTCTACCTATGGCTAGCCAGTTTTCCCAGCACCATTTATTAAATAGGGAATCCTTTCCCCATTTCTTGTTTTTGTCAGGTTTGTCAAAGATCAGATGGTTGTAGATGTGTGGTGTTATTTCTGAGGCCTCTGTTCTGTTCCATTGGTCTGTATATCTGTTTTGGTACCAGCACCATGCTGTTTTGGTTACTGTAGCCTTGTAGTATAGTTTGAAACAGATATAGTATATATTTGTTTCGGTACCAGTACCATGCTGTTTTGGTTACTGTAGCCTTGTAGTATAGTTTGAAGTCAGGTAGCATGATGCCTCCAGCTTTGTTCTTTTTGCTTAGGATTGTCTTGGCAATGTGGGCTCTTTTTAGGTTCCATACGAACTTTAAAGTAGTTTTTTCCAGTTCTGTGAAGAAAGTCGTTGGTAACTTCATGGGGTTGGCATTGAATCTAGAAATTACTTTGGGCAATATGGCCATTTTCAGGTATTGATTCTTCCTATCCATGAGCATGGAATGTTCTTCCATTTGTTTGTGTCCTCTTTTATTTCGTTGAGCAGTGGTTAGTAGTTCTCCTTAAAGAGGTCCTTCACATCCCTTGTAAGTTGGATTTCTAGGTATTTTATTCTCTTTGTAGCAATTGTGAATGGGAGTTCACTCATGATTTGGCTCTTTGTCTGTTAATGGTGTATAGGAATGCTTGTGATTTTTGCACATTGATTTTGTATCCTAAGACTTTGCTGAAGTTGCTTATCAGCTTAAGGAGGTTTTGGGCTGAGACGATGGGGTTTTCTAAATATACAATCATGTCATCTGCAAACAGGGACAATTTGACTTCCTCATTTCCTTTTTTTTTTTTTTTTTTTTTTTTTAGTGTTTATTAATCATTCTTGGGTGTTTCTCGGAGAGGGGGATGTGGCAGGGTCATAGGACAGTAGTGGAGGGAAGGTCAGCAGATAAACATGTGAACAAAGGTCTCTGGTTTTCCTACGCAGAGGGCCCTGCTGCCTTCCGCAGTGTTTGTGTCCCTGGGTACTTGAGATTAGGGAGTGGTGATGACGCTTAACGAGTATGCTGCCTTCAAGCATCTGTTTAACAAAGCACATCTTGCACCGCCCTTCATCCATTTAACCCTTAGTGGACACAGCACATGTTTCAGAGAGCATGGGGTTGGGGGTAAGGTCATAGATAAACAGCATCCCAAGGCAGAAGAATTTCTCTTAGTACAGAACAAAATGGAGTCTCCTATGTCCACCTCTTTCTACGCAGACACAGTAACAATCCGATCTCTCCTTCCTTTCCCTACATTTCCCCCCCTTCTATTCGACAAAACCACCATCGTCATCATGGCCCGTTCTCAATGAGCTATTGGGTACACCTCCCAGATGGGGTGGCGGCCGGGCAGAGGGGCTCCTCACTTCCCAGACGGGGCGGCCGGGCAGAGGCGCCCCCACCCCCCCCACTTCCCAGACGGGGCGGCTGGCCGGGTGGGGGCTGCCCCCCACCTCCCTGATGGGCGGCTGCCGGGCGTAGGGGCTCCTCACTTCCCAGACGGGGCGGCTGCTGGGCAGAGGGGCTCCTCACTTCTCAGAGGGGGCGGCCGGTCAGAGAGGCTCCTCACCTCCCAGAGTGGGTGGCGGCGGGGCAGAGACACTTCTCAGTTCCCAGACGGGGTCACTGCCGGGCCGAGGCGCTCTTCACATCTCAGATGGGGTGGCGGGGCAGAGGCACTCCCCACATCCCAGACGATGGGTGGCTGGGCAGAGACGCTCCTCACTTCCTAGATGGGATGACGGCCGGGCAGAGGCGCTCCTCACTTCCTAGACTGGGTGGCGGCCGGGCAGAGGCTGCAATCTCGGCACTTTGGGAGGCCAAGGCAGGCGGCTGGGAGGTGGAGGTTGTAGCGAGCCGAGATCACGCCACTGCACTTCAGCCTGGGCAACATTGAGCACTGACTGAGCGAGACTCCGTCTGCAATCCCGGCACCTCGGGAGGCCGAGGCTGGCAGATCACTCACGGTCAGGAGCTGGAGACCAGCCCGGCCAACACGGCGAAACCCCGTCTCCACCAAAAAATACGAAAACCAGTCAGGCGTGGTGGCGCGCGCCTGCAATCCCAGGCACTCGGCAGGCTGAGGCAGGAGAATCAGGCAGGGAGGTTGCAGTGAGTCGAGATGGCGGCAGTACAGTCCAGCCTCGGCTCAGCATCAGAGGGAGACCGTGCAAAGGGGAGAGGGAGAGGGAGAGCGACTTCCTCATTTCCTAATTGAATACCCTTTATTTATTTCTCTTGCCTGATTGCCCTGGCCAGAACTTCCAACAGTATGTTGAATAGGAGTGGTGAGAGAGGGCATCCTTGTCTTGTGCCGGTTTTCAAAGGGAATGCTTCCAGTTTTTGCCCATTCAGTATGGTATTGGCTGTGGGTTTGCCATAAATATCTCTTATTATTTTGAGATACGTTCCATCAATACCTAGTTTATTGAGAATTTTTAGCGTGAAGGGCTGTTGAATTTTGTTGAAGGTCTTTTCTGCATCTATTGAGATAATCATGTGGTTTTTGTCGTTGGTTCTGTTGATATGATGGATTATGTTTATTGATTTGCATATGTTGAACCAACCTTGCATCCCAGGGATGAAGCCGACTTGATCATGGTGGATAAGCTTTTTCATGTGCTGCTGGATTCGGTTTGCCAGTATTTTATTGAGGATTTTCGCATCAATGTTCATCAGGGATATTGGTCTAAAATTCTCCTTTTTTGTTGTGTCTCTGCCAGGCTTTGGTATCAGGATGATGTTGGCCTCATAAAATGAGTTAGGGAGGATTCCCTTTTTTTCTGTTGATTGGAATAGTTTCAGAAGGAATGGTACCAGCTCCTCTTTGTACCTCTGGTAGAATTTGGCTGTGAATCCGTCTGGTCCTGGACTTTTTTTGGTTGTTAGGCTGTTAATTATTGCCTCAATTTCAGAGCCTGTTATTGGTCTGTTCAGAGATTCAACTTCTTCCTGGTTTAGTCTTGGGAGGGTGTATGTGTCCAGGAATTTGCCCATTTCTTCTAGATTTTCTAGTTTATTTGCATAGAGGTGTTTATAGTATTCTCTGGTGGTAGTTTGTATTTCTGTGGGATCAGTGGTGATATCACCTTGATCATTTTTTATTGCGTCTATTTGATTCTTCTCTCTTTTCTTCTTTATTAGTCTTGCTAGTGGTCTATCAATTTTGTTGATCTTTTCAAAAAACCAGCTCTTGGATTCATTGATTTTTTGAAGGGTTTTTTATGTCTCTATCTCCTTCAGTTCTGCTCTGATCTTAGTTATTTCTTGCCTTCTGCTAGCTTTTGAATGTGTTTGCTCTTGCTTCTCTAGTTCTTTTAATTGTGATGTTAGGGTGTCAATTTTAGATCTTTCCTGCTTTCTCTTGTGGGCATTTAGTGCTATGAGTTTCCCTCTACACACTGCTTTAAGTGTGTCCCAGAGATTCTGTTACGTTGTGTCTTTGTTCTCATTGGTTTCAAAGAACATCATTATTTCTGCCTTCATTTCGTTATGTGCCCAGTAGTCATTCAGGAGCAGGTTGTTCAGTTTCCATGTAGTTGTGCAGTTTTGAATGAGTTTCTTAATCCTGAGTTCTAATTTGATTGCACTGTGGTCTGAGAGACAGTTTGTTGTGATTTCTGTTCTTTTGCATTTGCTGAGGAGTGCTTTACTTCCAACTATGTGGTCAGTTTTGGAATAAGTGTGATGTGGTGCTGAGAAGAAATGTATATTCTGTTGATTTGGGGTGGAGAGTTCTGTAGATGTCTATTAGGTCTGCTTGTTGCAGAGCTGAGTTCAGGTCCTGGATATCCTTGTTAACTTTCTGTCTCATTGATCTGTCTAATATTGACAGTGGGGTGTTAAATTCTCCCATTATTATTGTGTGGGAGTCTAAGTCTCTTCTCTGTAGGTCTCTAAGGACTTGCTTTTTGAATTTGGATGCATATATATTTAGGATAGTTAGCTCTTCTTGTTGAATTGACCCCTTTACCAATATGTAATGGCCTTCTTTGTCTCTTTTGATTTTTGTTGGTTTAAAGTCTGTTTTATCAGAGACTAGGATTGCAACCCCTGTGTTTTTTTCTTTTTCTTTTTTTTTTTTTGGAGATGGAGTCTTGCTTTGTGGCCCAGGCTGGAGTGCAGTGGTGCGATCTGGGCTCACTGCAAGCTCTGCCTCCTGGGTTCATGCCATTCTCCCACCTCAGCCTCTCGAGTAGCTGGGACTATAGGCGCCTGCCACCACGCCCAGCTAATTTTTTTGTATTTTTAGTAGAGACGGGGTTTCACCGTGTTAGCCAGGATGGTCTCGATCTCCTGACCTCGTGATCTGCCTGCCTTGGCCTCCCAAAGTGCTGGGATTACAGGCATGAGCCATTGTGCCCGGCCAACCCCTGCATTTTTTTTGCTTTCCATTTGCTTGGTAGATCTTCCTCCATCCCTTTATTTTGAGCCTATGTGTGTCTTTGCATGTGAGATGGGTCTCCTGAATACAGCACACTGATGGGTCTTAACTCTTTATCCAATTTGCCAGTCTGTGTCTTTTAATTGGGGCATTTAGCCCATTTACATTTAAGGTTAATATTATTGTGTGTGAATTTGATCCTGTCATTATGATGTTAGCTGGTTATTTTGCCCATTAGTTGATGCAGTTTCTTCCTAGCATCAATGGTCTTTACAATTTGGCATGTTTTTGCAGTGGCTGGCACCGGTTGTTTCTTTCCATGTTTAGTGCTTCCTTCAGGAGCTCTTGTAAGGCAGGCCTGGTGGTGACAAAATGTCTCAGCATTTTCTTGTCTGTAAAGTATTTTATTTCTCCTTCACTTATGAAGCTTAGTTTGGCTGGATATGAAATTCTGGGTTGAAAATTCTTTTCTTTAAGAATGTCGAATATTGGCCCCCACTCTTCTGGCTTGTAGGGTTTCTGCAGAGATATCTGCTGTTAGTCTGATGGGCTTCCCTTTGTGGGTAACTTGACCTTTCTCTCTGGCTGCCCTTAACACTTTTCCCTTCATTTCAACCTTGGTGAATCTGACAATTATGTGTCTTGGGGTTGCTTTTCTTGAGGAGTATCTTTGTGGTGTTCTCTGTATTTCCTGAATTTGAATGTTGGCCTGCCTTGCTAGGTTGGGGAAGTTCTCCTGGATAATGTCCTGAAGAGTGTTTTCCATCTTGGTTCCATTCTCCCCGTCACTTTCAGGTACACCAATCAAACGTAGATTTGGTCTTTTCACATAGTCTCATATTTCTTGGAGGCTTTGTTTGTTTCTTTTTACTCTTTTTTCTCTAACCTTGTCTTCTCACTTTATTTCATTAATTTGATCTTCAATCACTGATACCCTTCCTTCCACTTGATCAAATCAGCTATTGAAGCTTATGCAAGCGTCACGAAGTTCTCGTGCTGTGGTTTTCAGCTCCATCAGGTCATTTAAGTTCTTCTCTACACTGTTTATTCTAGTTAGCAATTCATCTAATCTTTTTTCAAGGTGTTTAGCTTCCTTGCGATGGGTTCGAACATCCTCCTTTAGCTTGGAGAAGTTTGTTATTACCGACCTTCTGAAGACTACTTCTGTCAACTTGTCAAAGTCATTCTCCATCCAGCGTTGTTCCGTTGCTGGCAAGGAGTTGCGATCCTTTGGAGGAGAAGAGGCGCTCTGATTTTTAGAATTTTCATCTTTTCTGCTCTGGTTTCTCCCCATCTTTGCGGTTTTATCTACCTTTGGTCTTTGATGTTGGTGACCTACAGATGGGATTTTGGTGTAGATGACCTTTTTGTTGATGTAGATGCTATTCCTTTTTGTTTGTTAGTTTTCCTTCTAACAGTCAGGTCCCTCAGCTGTAGGTCTGTTGGAGTTTGCAGGAGTTTCACTCCAGACCCTGTTTGCCTGGGTATCACCAGCAGAAGCTGCAGAACTGCAAATATTGCTGCCTGAGCCTTCCTCTGGAAGCTTCGTCCCAGAGGGGCAGCCGCCTGTATGAGGTGTCTGTCGGCCCCTACTGGGAGATGTCTCCCAGTTAGGCTACACGGGAGTCAGGGACCCACTTGAGGAGGCCATCTGTCCGTTCTCAGAGCTCAAACACCATGCTGGGAGAACCACTGCTCTCTTCAGAGCTGTTAGACAGGGACGTTTAAGTCTGCAGAAGTTGTCTGCTGCCTTTTGTTCAGCTATGCCCTGCCCACAGAGGTGGAGTTTAGGGGCAGTAGGCCTTGTTGAGCTGTGGTGGGCTCTGCCCAGTTCAAGCTTCCCAGCCGCTTTGTTTACCTATTCAAGCCTCAGCAATGGCGGACGCCCCTCCCTCAGCCAGGCTGCCACCTCACAGATCAATCTCTGACTGCTGCGCTGGCAGTGAGCAAGGCTCCATGGGCGTGGGACCTGCCAAGCCAGGTACGAGAGAGAATCACCTTGCCTGCCAGTTGCTAAGACCTTGGGAAAAATGCGGTATTTGGGTGGGAGTGCCCCGTTTTTCCAGATAGTCTGTCACGGCTTCCCTTGGCTAGGAAAGGGAAATGATTTCCCCGACCCCTTGCACTTCCCAGGTGAGGCGGCACGCTGCCCTGCTTCAGCTCGCCCTCCGTGGGCTGCACCCGCTCTCCACCCAGTCCCAGTGAGATGAACCAGGTACCTCAGTTGGAAATGCAGAAATCGTCCGTCTTCTGCATTGATCATGCTGGGAGCTGCAGACTGCAGCTGCTCCTATTTGGCCATCTTGGAACACCCCACCACAAACAAACAGTAGCTTAAGCAAGATGGAAGTCCAGGCTATTAGGATGATTAGCTCTGTAAAGTTATTAGAGTTGCAGAATTTTTTTCTGTCTTGTTCTGCCATCCCCTAGGTCTTGCTTGCCCTTGTCTGCATGATTCAAGTTGCCTTACCACCATGTTTGCTTACTAAACAGCATGGAAGGCTCCTCTGCCTATGGAGTGGCTGTTCTTCATTCCTTCACATTCTTTTTTTTTTTTTTTGAGATGAAATCTCGCTCTTTCGCCCAGGCTGGACTGCTGGACTGCAGTGGCGCTATCTTGCCTCACTGCACGCTCCACCTCCTAGGTTCACTCCATTCTCCTTCCTCAGCCTCCTGAGTAGCTGGGACCACAGGCGCCCGCCACCACGCTCAGCTGATTTTTTGTATTTTTTAATAGAGATGTGGTTTCACCCTGGTAGCCAGGATGGTCTCGATCTCCTGACCTCGTGATCCACCCGCCTTGGCCTCCCAAAGTGCTGGGATTACAGGCATGACCTTCACATTCTTGATAAACCTGCTTTCACTTTACTCTATAGGCTCGCCCTGAATTCTTTCCTGCACTAGATCCAAGAACCCTCTCTTGGGATCTGGATCCGGACCCCTTTCCAGTAACATCATTCTGGCGACCACAGAAGGGACAATACTGAGGAAACCCCCAACCCAAAGGCTAACTTTGGTTAAGTGGTGGGGCCCAGTAACATCTTTCTGGCGAATCACAGAAGGGATGATACCGAAGATACCCCCAACCCAAAGGAAAATCATCTGTGAGCACCAGTTGGCTGAAGGATACCACCTTCTGTTGGGACTCAAGAGTTAGGAATGGCGCTCGCCATACAGATGCTTTCAGACTGAGGTCCTCTCTACTCTGAATGCAAGAGATCTAATAGACAGGAATACCATCGTCCCTATTAAGCATGAAGAAGTTACGGAAGTTGAATCTTTTTCCCTCTACAACCCTTAGGATTAAGGGTTCTCTTGTAAAAGGGAGGGAGGAAATGTCAGAAGCATTTAAAACAGAGCAACTCCATTTTGAATAGGGGCTCGGTAAAATAAGGCTGAGACCTAGTGGGCTGCATTCCCAGAAGGTTAGACATTCTAAGTCATGGGATGAGATAGGAGGTCAGCACAAGAAACTGGTCATGAAGGCCTTGCTGATGAAACATGTTGCAGTAAAGAAGCTAAAATCCCCCAAAACCAACATGGAAAGAAGCTGGCTAAGATCCCCCAAAACCAACATGGAAAGAAGCTGGCTAAAACCCCCCAAAACCAACATGGAAAGAAGCTGGCTAAAACCCCCCAAAACCAACATGGAAAGAAGCTGGCTAAAACCCCCCAAAACCAACATGGAAAGAAGCTGTGGCTAAAATCCCCCAAAACCAACATGGAAAGAAGCTGGCTAAAACCCCCCAAAACCAACATGGAAAGAAGCTGGCTAAAATCCCCCAAAACCAACATGGAAAGAAGCTGGCTAAAATCCCCCAAAACCAACATGGAAAGAAGCTGGCTAAAACCCCCCAAAACCAACATGGAAAGAAGCTGGCTAAAACCCCCCAAAACCAACATGGAAAGAAGCTGGCTAAAACCCCCCAAAACCAACATGGAAAGAAGCTGGCTAAAATCCCCCAAAACCAACATGGAAAGAAGCTGGCTAAAATCCACCAAAACCAACATGGAAAGAAGCTGGCTAAAACCCCCCAAAACCAACATGGAAAGAAGCTGGCTAAAATCCCCCAAAACCAACATGGTGATGAGGGTGACCTGGTCATCCTCACTGCTCCACTCCCACCAGTGCAGTGGCAGTTTACAAATGCCATGGCAACATCAGGAAGTTGCCCTGTATCGTCTAAAAAGGAGGAGGAGCCCTCAGTTCTCGGAACTGCCCAACCTTTTCCTGGAAAACTCATAAGTAATCCACTCCTTGATTAGCATATAAGCAAGAAATAAACATAAAAATTGGCAACCAGCAGCCCTTGGGCTGCTCTGCCTATGGAATAGCCATACTTTATTCCTTTACTTTCTTAATAAACTTGCTTTCACTTAAAAAAAAATAAACAGCATGGAAGAGGGAGGAGCTGATAAGGGTACAAATTTCCCTTGAAGGGAACAACCTAGAAGTTGTACCCAGCACTTCTGTCTACATTCCATCTACTATAACTTGGCAGCATGGCTACACCCATTTGCAAGGGACACTAGGAAATCCAGATGCTTAGTTAAAAACTGGAGGTTCTATAAGTAAGAGGGACAAGGGGAGAATGGGTTATTTGGTACCTATAAGCAGTTTCTGCCACAGGGAGATAGTGGTAAATTATATAAAATCCTTGCCATTGTAGCGTTTATAATCTAGTAGGAGAAACAGACTATAAACAAATAACGTAAAACAAACACACACAAACACATATATATAATAACAGTGAATATAATACATATGTTTGTCTTTGATGGAGAGAGAGAGTGTGACATTCATTTCAAGTTATAGTAGTTGCTTGGAGAAAGAATAAAATGTAGCTGGATGCAGTGGCTCATGCCTGTAATCCCAGCACTTTGGTGGGAGGCTGAAGGGAGTAGATCACTTGAGCCCAGGAGTTCGAGACCAGCCTGGGCAATATGGTGGAACCCTGTCTCTACAAAAAGTCGAAAAAATTAGCTGGACGTGGTGGTGCACACCTGTGGTCCCCAGCAGCTACTCAGGAGGCTGGGGTAGGAGGATCGCTTGAGCCCAGGAGGTTGAGGCTGCAGTGAGCTGTGGTGGTGCCATTGCCCTCCACCCTGAGCAACACAGTGAGACCCTGTCTCAAAAGAAAAAAAAAGGAGAATAAAATACAATAAGGGAAGGAGAGAGGGGGGCTGTATTTTGTTCAGGGCCATTTGATGTGTGTGGTCTGAATTGAGTTAAGCATCTGGAAATTTCTAGTGTCCTTTGCAAGTAGATGTGTCCGTGTTGCCAAATTCAGTTTCTTCTTACAGCCAAATTGAAAGCCAGATTGATTTCGTAGGTTCCACATATGTTTATAATTGTGAAGAGAAAGGACTGTATTAGGAAGATTAGGGAAGATTTCTGAAAGGATGAGATATGAATAGAAACCTTAGTGAAGCGAGGGAATGCGAACGATGGGGAGGTCTGAGGGAAAATACAGTGTGAGCATACTGATGTTGGAAAGAGCTGGTACCGTCAAGAAGACCAGCTGAGTGAGCAGAGCACTGAGGCCAAATGGTCTGACCTGGGCAAGGGAATGTTTCCTACGTTTTCCTCTTTCCCCACCATGCTGTAAGCTGTATGAACACAGGGACTTCATTTTCTTGACTGTTGTGTGTCCACGGGGTCTAAAGCAGTTTAATTAGCCTTCATGAAATCATGATTATGCCAGAAGGAATATTGTACAGAAAGAATCAGAACAATTTCGGTAATATTTCTTCCTTTTTTTTTTTTTTTTTGAGACAGAGTCTCACTCTGTCACCCAGGCTGGAGTGCAGTGGCACGATCTCGGCTCACTGCAGCCCCAACTTCCTGGGTTCAAGTGATCTGCCCAACTTAGTCCCCCAGGTAGCCTGGATTATGGGCGTGTGCCACCATGCCTGGCTAAATTTTGTATTTTTTGTAGAGATGAGGTTTTGCCACGTTGCCCAGGTTGGTCTTGAACTCCTGAGCTCCAGTGATTAACCAGCCTTGGCCTCCCAGAGTTCTGAGATTACCAGTGTGAGCCACTGGACCCGGCCAATATTTCTTATTTCATGAGGAAAAAAAACCCACATTTTAAATTGGTATCCCATTACACATGCACCTAGCTCTAATTACTAAGAATATTTTGTTAATTTCATAAGTATTTAGTATAAATGCAAGTGAAAATATGTAGCCGAAAATGTGAAGAAGAGCCTAGTTAGTAACTAATTTTTCCTTTTTCTTTTCTTTTCTTTTTTTTTTTTTTTTTTTTTTTGAGACAGAGTCTCGCTCTGTCGCCCAGGCCAGAGTGCAGTGGCGCGATCTCAGCTCACTGCAACCTCCGCCTCCTGGGTTCAAGCGATTCTCCTGTCTCACCCTCCCGAGTAGCTGGGACTATAGGTACACACCACCACGCCTGGCTAATTTTTTAAATTTTAGTAGAGACGAGGTTTCACCACCATATTGGTCAAGCTGGTCTCGAACTCCTGACCTCAGGTGATCCACCCACCTCGGCCTCCCAAAGTGCTGTGATTACAGGCAAGAGCCACTGCCCCTGGCAATATATAACATTTTTCTGATTAAACTTTATATTGTTTACATTTAGTTTTATTCAAATTAGACAAATCATTGAAATTTAGAAAATGAACAAGGAAAAATAAAATTGTAATTTCCATTTCCATAAAAAAGTACTGTGTATATTTTAATATATTTTCTTCTCGACTTTATGCATATATACTTACTGAAACATATTAAATTTGTTCAAATCCTTCATTTTCTTTTTCTTTCTTTTTTTGAGGCAGTCTTGCCCTGTTGCCTAGGCTGGAGTGCAGTGGCATGATCCCAGCTCACTGCAACCTCTGCCTCCCAGATTCAAGCAATACTTGTACCTCAGCTACCCAAGTAGATGGGATTACAGGCATGCGCCACCACGCTCGTCTAATTTTAGTATCGTTAGTAGAGATGGGGTTTCGCCATGTTGACCAGGCTGGTCTTGAACTCTTGGGCTCAAATGATCAGCCCACATCGGCCTCCCAAAGTGCTGGGATTACAGGCATGAGCCACCATGCCAGGCCTAAATCCTTTTTTATCATGCCTTCCTGATCTGGCTGGTACTGGGACAGACGTTAGTCTCCCGCTGTTTTACTCTGGGGTCTCCATTATAATGGCTTTGAAATGTTGATTCAGAACAACCTAATAGATTCCAAGGATTCCAGTAATCTTCTTCAATGATAATCTTCCATGAGGAGATTATTTTTCTCATGGCCCACTCTCACCTCCAGTCCTTGATTCACATAATTGGTATACTTAGATTATTTTTAAGACTCTCTCTTTTTAAATTGCATATATTCAATTATTTTAAATCTTTTTAGAGATGGGGTCTTGCTGTGTTGCCCAGGGTGGTCTCGAACTCCTTGCCTTAAGCAATCCTCCTGTCTTGGCCTCCCAAGGCAGTGGGATTATAGGTGTGAGCCACTGCTCCAGACTACTGTACATATTTAAGATGTATAACATGAAGATTGGATATACATAGTAAAATGATTACTACAGTCAAGCAAATTAACCTGTCCTTACCTTCCATAATTGTCTTTTTACGTGTGTGTGTGTGTGTGTGTGTGTGTGTGTGTGTGTGTGTGTGGTAAGAGCACCTAATAATCTGCTCTCAGCACATTTTCAATGTATAATACGATATTATTAAGTATAGTCCTCATGTTGTACATGAGATCTCTAGACTTATTCAAGACTCTTCTTTCTTCCTCTCCTTTTTCCTTTCCTTTCCCTTCCTTCCTTCCTTCCTTCCTTCCTTCCTTCCTTCCTCCCTCCCTCCCTCCCTCCCTTCCTTCCTTCCCTCCTTCCTTTTTTTCTTTCTTTCTTTCCTTCCTTCCTTCTTCCCTTCCCCTCCCCCTCCCCCTCCCCCTCCCCCCCTCCCCTCCCCCTCCCCTCCCCTCCCCTCCCCTCACTCTGTTGCCCAGGCTGGAGTGCAATGGCACGATCTTGGCTCACTGCAACCTCTGCCACCCAGGTTCAAGCAATTCTGCCTCAGTCTCCTGAGTAGCTGGGATTACAGGTGCCCACCACCATGCCTGGCTAATTTTGTG
This sequence comes from Homo sapiens, assembly GCF_000001405.40. Taxonomy (NCBI): domain Eukaryota; kingdom Metazoa; phylum Chordata; class Mammalia; order Primates; family Hominidae; genus Homo; species Homo sapiens. The sequence continues at coordinate 196,374,723 of NC_000003.12, read as the reverse complement.
TTTTTAGTAGAGATGGGGTTTCACCATGTTGACCAGGCTGGTCTTGAACTCCTGACCTCAGGTGATCCACCCACCTCGGCCTCCCAAAGTGCTGGGATTGCAGGTGTGAGCCACTGCACCTGGCCTATTCAAGACTCTTTTATTCCCTCCCAATATTGTTGTTTTGTTTGAAAATTGTGTCTTTGCACCCTTCCTTTTAGCAGTAACAATTTTTTAACAATATCTTCAATGTGGTTAGTATCATTTCCAAGTTTCTTTTGCTAGTATTAGGTTTCTCCCCCATTGGAAGCTTCACAAAGGCAAAGATTTTTATATTTTAGAACTGCTATTACTTTAATATCTATAACTGTACCTGAAACATGATAGGTACTCAGTATTTGTTGAATGAATAAATCTGAGATAATGAAAGCATGAATGTGAGTAAACAAATTTTTAAAAGCGAAAAAAAAAAGTGACTCTTCCATTTTAAACTCTGGACTTTTATTCATTTTCAGTTTTGTACATTTTTTTCTTGTCATTGTTTTTGGGGCAGACTTATGTAAATTTACCCTGCTGTAGGAATATGTGCGCTCTAGTCTATCTCTAGAACGTATGGTCATTTTTCCGTTTATTTTCAAATACTGTTTCTGTAGTTAAAGCAGCTTAATTATTCATTTATCATTCACTTTTTAAATCTTTGTCCTATAAGGAAGTAAATGGAAATATTACTTCCTATAAGCAAGGAATTATTATATTTGTATATTTTAAAATAAGCCTTTGACCAGTTAAATGCGGCTTCCTGGCTCAATATGAGGATATTTCTTTTTAGACCTTGGGTTTTCACCCATGGAATCAGTAAGCAAATATTAGAAGATAATTTATTCTGGGGCTGAGTGGGGTGACTGACACCTGTAATCCCAAGACTTTTGGAGGCCAGGGCAGGAGGATCATTTGAGGCTAGGTGTTCCAAACCAGCCTGGCTAACATAGTGAAACCCCTGTCTCTACAAAAAATATAAACAACAAAAAAAGAAAATAATTTATTCTGGGGGATTCATACAAAAAAAAAGCTATTTGTGAGATGATGTAGACCTTCTTAAAACAGAAGATATTCTCAGTCTCACATTTTTCAGTACCCACAAAATGATGTCCAGTATGTTCTTGGATTGTTATTACACCAAATTCATTGATTCTTAAGATTTTCCCATGTCACACTGATTTGGAAAAGAATACTGTTCTAGGATAAATTTATTCCAAAACTGTGGTTTCGTGTCACTGTTCTTTCCTAGGCAAAGATTTGAGGCAGCATTTGCTTATTTGCTTTTCTGCCATTGTTTTCCACTCAGCAGCATTTCATGGGTCTTTATGCTGACAAGGGACTGACAGGCAAAAAGTACGCACTAACGATTGATGTATCGATATCTGTTGTACGAATCGTAGAGTTGTTTGGGGATCATTCTCAAACATTCTTTGACCTTGTAATCCCAATTTTTGGAATCTACTCCTAGGAAGACAACTCTTAAGAGAAAAAACTCTCAGCAGTTTTTACTAAAATGTTTAGGGTGATTCTCCAAAACAGCATATATGCCTAATAACTGAGATTAATATGATGTTTAAAAATGTTCCAGAAATGATGTTGAAGAAAACAAAGTAAAATATACACACCAATTGCATTCATTAAAAAGAAGTATAATTGGCTGGGCGCGGTGGCTCACGCCTATAATCCCAGCACTTTGGGAGGCTGAGATGGGTGCGTCACCTGAGGTCAGGAGTTTGAGACCAGCCTGGCCAACATGGTGAAACCCCGTCTCTTTACTAAAAATATATAAAAAATTAGTCAGGCATGGTGGCACACACCTGTAATCCCAGCTACTCGGTAGGCTAAGGCAGAAGAATCACTTGAACCTAGTAGGTGGAGGTTGTAGTGAGCCGAGATCGTGCCATTGTTCTCCGACTTAGGCAACAAGAGCAAAGCTCGTCTCAAAAAAAAAAAAAATTGTTGATGGAGGTTGCAAGAGAATAAAATTACGTGACTTGTTGATCTTAAGTTTGTTGAATCCTTTTCAGGTAAAGATGTTTAAACATACATTAAAAATTCAGCCATTACCGGTCATGATGAGTCACACCTGTAATTCCAGCACTTTGGGAGGCCAAGGTGGACGGGTCATTTGAGGTCAGAAGTTCGAGACCAGCCTGGCCAACATGTTGATACCCCATCTCTACTAAAAATACAAAAATCAGCCAGGCGTGTTGGGGCACGCCTTTAATCCCAACTACTTGGGAGGCTGCGGCGGGAGAATCACTTGAACTCAGGAGGTGGAGGTTGCAGTGAGCCGAGACTGCCCCACTGTACTCTAGCCTGGGCAATAGAGTTAGACTCTGTCTCAAAAAAAAAAAAAAAAGAAAGAAAGAAAGAAAGGAGAGAGAGAGAGAGAGAGAGAGAGAATCAGCTATTATAACAAATAACTGGATAAAAGAGAAATGAGTTCATTTAAATTTGAGCAGTGCTTGAAATGGACAGTATAGCTATAAATGCATATGCGAAGTAAATATATAGAATGTATAAATGCTGAAAACTCTAGATGTCGTATCTGGCAAAAACTTAGTATTTTTAATGAAAGACAACAACCTCTGAACAACTACGGAAACATCTGTCACTAAGTAGAAATTATTTCTAACAAATGTGTAACTTTACTCTTGCAGGCCAAAGAGTGTGGCCAGATGCAAAATAAGTGGCTGATGATAAACATTCAAAATGTTCAAGACTTTGCATGTCAGTGCCTCAACCGCGATGTGTGGAGCAACGAAGCTGTGAAGAATATTATCCGGGAACATTTCATTTTCTGGCAGGTGAGAAGGAGAGTTAATCAGAAGTTTTGTAGAATTTTACTTTTGTAGTGTGGGTTGTTGAGGGAAAGGAATTGGGTTATAATGAATTAAGACATTTAAAAAAAGGTAAAGCCGGCTGGGGGCAGTAGCTCACGCCTATAATCCCAGCACTTTGGGAGGCTGAGGCCGGCGGATCACCTGAGGTCAGGAGTTTGAGACCAGCCTGGCCAACATGGTGAAACCCTGTCTCTCCTAAAAATACAAAAAATCAGCCAGGTGTGGCAGCAGGCACCTGTAATCCCAGCTACTCGGGAGGCTGAGGCAGGAGAATCACTTGAACCCGGGTAGCGGAGACTGCAGTGAGCCAAGATCACACCATTACACTCCAGCCTGAACAATAGAGCTAGACTCCATCTCAAACAAAACAAAACAAACAAACTGTACTGTTCAGTAGAAATATATTGTAAGCTGTACACATAATTTAAATTTTTCCAGTAGCCACATTAAAAAAGATTAATCAAAATAGATGAAATTAACTGTAATAATGTATTTGGTTAAATCAATATATCTATATAACTAATACAAAAATAATGAGATGATCTGCATTTATTTGGTGTTGAGTCTTCAAGATATGGTTTGTATTTTATACTTACACCCCTTCTCCATTTGGAGTAGCAAGATTTCAGGTGCTTCAGTAGCCACTTGTGGGTAGTGGTTGCTGTATTAGACAGTGCAGGTATAGAAGATCTTGAGGTAATTGGAAGCATTTGGCTAAGACTTAGATTTTAGCTTGAGTTTGATACTTTTTAACTCTGTGTTCTTAGACATGTCACTTTAGTCTTCCCAGCTAATGAGATAAGGTTACAGACCTTGTATCATTTTTCCCCCACTGTGAGACAGGGTTTTGCTCTGTCACCCAGGCTGCAATGCAGTGGCATGAACATGGCTCAGCCTTGACCTCCTGGGCTCAAATGATCCTTCCACCTCAGTTTCTTGAGTAGTTGGGACCACAAACATGCACCACTATGCCCATATAATTTTTTTTTTTTTTTTTTTTTTGTAGAGATGGGGTCCTGCCATATTGCCCAGGCTCGTCTCGAACTCCTGGGCCCAAGCCATCTGCTTCCCTTGGCTTCCCAAAGTGCTGGGATTATAGGCATGAATCACCGTGCCGGCTCAATTTTTTTATTTTTTATTTTGTGAAAAGTTATAGAAAATAAAAACTTATGAAGGAGCTTAATTTTTTCCCCTACTGTAAGATATGCTATTAATGTTATTAATTTGCCTGTTTATATTTTACAGGCCCCTAAATTTAATGTAACTTTAATGGTAAAATTCCTTGTATTTTATTCAACAAATATTGATCGAGCAGCTCTTTGCTTAGCACTGTGCTGGACTCTTGAGCTTATAATCTTTTTTTCTTTCTTTCTTTTCTTTTCTTTTTTCTTTTTTTTTTTAAATAAATGGACAGGGTCTTGCTCTGTCACCCAGGCCGGAACACAGTGGTGCAGTCATAGCTCACTGCAGGCTCTAACCCCTATAGGCTCAAGGGATCTTCCCACCTCAGTCTCCTGAGTTGCTGGGACTATAGGTGCACACCATTAAACCTGGCTAATTTAAAAACAAACAAACAAACAAAAAAAAACAAAAAAACTTCTCGTGGAGATGCCCAGGCTGGTCTCAAACTCCTGGCCTCAAGCTGTCCTCTGCCTCTGCCCTACAAAGTGCTAGGGTTATAGGTGCGAGCCACCATGTGGAGCCATAATCTTTTTTTTTTTTTTTTTTTTTTGAGACAAGTCTTGCATTGTCGCTGGGCAGGAGTGCAGTGGCACGATCTCAGCTCACTGCAGTCTCTGCCTCCCGGGTTCAAGCGATTCCCCTGCTTCAGTCTCCCGAGTAGCTGGGACTACAAGCGCCTGTCACCAGGCCCGGCTAATTTTTGTATTTTAGTAGAGACGGGGTTTCACCATGTTGGCCAGGATGGTCTCAATCTCCTGACCTTGTGATCCACTCGCCTCGGCCTCCTAAAGTGCTGGGATTACAGGCGTGAGCCACCATGCCTGGCCCATAATCTTAATATATTGTGATTTATTAAGATGTATATGGTTGAGAGTTATGAATGACATAGTTGACAGATAACTTGAGCAGGAAGAATAATACCTCATCTGAACTGGGAAAGGAGGAGGAATGGGTCAATATGTTTATGGTAAATTTCCAGAGAGTGCTGGAAGTGGGAAGTTGAAGGAGTTCAAACCAGATTTATTTTCTTTTTAGTGTAGGAGTGAGATCTTAATACATAGGCCGGAGGTATATTTGGAGAGCTAATTGATGTTGGTGTATAAGAAGGTTATAGTTGGTTCTTTTCTTAGAGGCTGACTTTTTTTTTTATATCAATGATTTAACAGGTTTATCATGACAGTGAGGAAGGTCAGAGATACATACAGTTTTATAAGTTAGGGGATTTCCCCTATGTTTCCATATTGGACCCACGGACAGGTAAGATTTATATCAGCACGCAGCTTTTAACCTATTACTTGTCTTTCAGTTACCTAAATGATTGATCTTTAATATTTGACTGGATCTGTTTTCAGAATTGCAGTAATTTAGGTGAAGGTTTCGTTTTTTTCCCTTTATAATTATTTAAACATCTATTGATGTATGTATTTAGGACATCTTTTTCTGGCAACATTGGGAGATGGTAGTATTTTATGTTTGTGCAGTTCTGTTCTTTTGAAGAATAACTGATATGTTCATCTTACCTTTTTTAAGGGATTTTTTAAAAGTTTTTTTACCAGCTGGGCGTGGTGGCTCATGCCTGTAATCCCAGCACTTTGGGAGGCCGAGGTGGGCGGATCATGAGGTCAGGCGATCCAGACCATCCTGGCTAACACGGTGAAACCCCATCTCTACTAAAAATACAAAAAAAATTAGCCGGGCATGGTGGCGGGCACCTGTAGTCCCAGCTGCTTGGGAGGCTGAGGCAGGAGAATGGCCTGAACCCGGGAGGTGGAGGTTGCAGTGAGCCGAGATCGCGCCACTGCACTCCAGCCTGGGCAACAGAGTGAGACTCCATCTCAAAAAAACAAAACAAGACAAAAGTTTTTTTTATCATTAAAATATTAAGATTGCCCAGATACTAGTTGTAATCCCACCTGAGAAGCAGAGGGTGGAGCTGGTTTTATTAATTGATGGTGTTTTATATAGATATTGCTTTGTCTGAATCTCTTCTTCCTAAATGGCAGTAAGTGATAGCAGCAGATAAGATAGTTGCCCTATCATTACGGGTGGGAATCTGTTAGGTGAGTATAATTGATGTGACTTCTAGGTTATGAAGACACTATGTAGCATAAGCTGGTGGAGAGGATATGTCTTTACAGTACACTTTATGCATGTGCTGAAAGAGATACTTAATGAGAATGTTCAGAAAGATCCTAGATATTATATTTACAGATCCTGGTTTTTAATGTATGCATATGCTGAAAGAGATAATGAGAATGTTCAGAAAGATTCTAGATATTACCTTTATAGATCCTGGTTTTTAATCTATGCATATGCTGAAAGAGATACTTAATAAGAATGTTCAGAAAGATTCTAGATATTACCTTTATAGATCCAGGTTTTTAATCTATGCATATGCTGAAAGAGATACTTAATGAGAGTGTTCAGAAGGATTCTAGGTATTATATTTATAGATCCTGGAGAATGTTCAGAAGGATTCTAGATATTATATTTATTTATAGATCTTGGTTTTTAATCCTTAGGTCAGAAGCTAGTAGAATGGCACCAGTTAGATGTATCTTCTTTCTTGGACCAAGTGACGGGATTTCTGGGTGAACATGGACAACTGGATGGACTTTCTAGCAGTCCCCCCAAAAAATGTGCCCGTTCAGTAAGTATAATTAGGAGGTGGTGATGGGAAAATAAATGTAATTGGTCATAAGCATCTTATATAAAATGTTCGATGTTAAGATGGTAAAGATAATCTAACTAGTGGACAACTATCACTGTGGCTATAGCATCTTAGATATCCTCCTTATATTTTGATAATTTCCCACATGAGAGTTCCATCTTCTTGGTGAAATCATGATACTCATACTCCTGCCAGTCTGTCTTGCAGCTAGAGTGCAGGCAGATGCCCCAGGATCTGGATTTAGAAGGAAGCAATGTGAATAGGTTGGGCAGGAGGACTGACCTGGCAAGCCTAGTGGTAAAGGTGTCTACTTCCTGAGGGGCAGCTCTGGGAGGGCTTCTGATATCCAGGTCTAAATAGCAGTGAAAGTGGTTGGTTTTTTTGTGTGTTTTGTTTTTTGTTTTGGAGTGGGATCTTGCTGTTTTGCCCAGACTGTCCTAGAACTCCTGGGCTGAAGCAGCCTTCTCACCTCAACTGCCCGAATAGCTAGGACTACAGGTACATGCCACCACAGCCGGCTGGAAGTGGTGTTTTTTGTTTTTGCTGAAACAACTGTCATGGTATAGTTGAGCATTTTTATTGGTTAATATAGCTTTAGGGCCTGGCTCTCTGGCCCTCCTAGAATTTACTTCTATACTTAATTTCTAGAATATACTATTACTAGGTAGACATGTTTGATAATTGGTATCAAGATTGGTTGCAAATAAGAGACTGAACTTGCAAAGATACAGCAATCTCACATTGGTTTTCATGGCTGTTTGGCTTTGATAGCAGTAGGGATAAAAATAGTTTTGTTTTGTTGGTTTTTTTTTTTTCCTTTTTTTGAGCCAGAGTCTTGTTCTGTTGCTAGGGCTAGAGGGCAGTGGTGTGATCTTGGCTCACTGCAACCTTCGCCTCCTGGGTTCAAGCGATTCTCCTGCCTTGGCCTCCCAAGTAGCTGGGATTACAGACGTACACCACTGCATCTGGCTAATTTTTGTAGTTTTAGTAGAGATGGGGTTTCGCCTTGTTGGGCAGGCTGGTTTCAAACTGCTGACTTCAAGTGATCCGCCCTTCTCGGCCTCCCAAAGTGCTGGGATTACAGGCGTGAGCTAACGCGCCCGTCCTGTTTTTTTCTTTGGGCAGGATCTTGTTCCATTTCTCAGGCTGCAGTGCAGTGGTGTGATCATGGCTCGCTACAGCCTCCACCTCTTGGGCTCAAGCGATCCTTCCACCTCAGCCTCCTAAGTAGCTGGGACCACAGATGTGCATCACCATGCCAGCTAAGCTGTTAAAGTTTTGTAGAGACGGAGGCCTCCGTATGTTGTCTAGGCTGGTCTCAAACTGGCCTCAAGCAATCCTCCCGCCTCAGCCTCCCAAAATGTTGGGATTCTGGGTGTGAGCACCACACCTAGCAACATTTTTATTGTATTGTATTGTATTTATTGTATTGTATTGTATTTTTTGAGATGTGGTCTCACACTGTTGCCCAGGCTGGACTGCAGTGGCATGATATTAACTCACTGTAGTCTTTGCAGCCTTGAGAGAACTTTAAAAAAAAAAAAAACTTGCTAGCCTTGAACTCCTGGGCTCAGTCAATCTTCTTGCCTCAGCCTCCTGAGTAGCTAGGACTACAGGTGTGCACCATCATGCCTGGCTAATTTTTTATTTTTTGTGGAGGCAGGGTCTCAATATGTTACTCAGCCTGATCTCAAACTCCTAAGCTCAAGCAATTCTCCTCCCTTGGCCTCCCGAAGTGCTGGGATTATAAGCATGAACCACCATACCATGCCCAGCCTAAAAATAGTTTTAGAAGATGTGAGGAACACTTCCTTCAGTTATCACCTATAATAAAGTGCCTATTTAAGGAAAAGCCCTAAGGGATAGTATAGAAATCTTGTTGGCCAGGATGGTCTCGAACTCCTGGCCTCAAGCAGTTCTCCTGCTTGATTTATAGTTTTTTTGAGAGCATTTTGTTGTTGTTGTTTCCTTTCTTCCATGTAATGCTTTATAATGTCGTTTTCTGCTTTTGGTAACATGTTAATGCTGACCTCACAATGAATTGAGAAGTATTTCTTCCTCTTCTGTTTTCTGCAGTAGTGTCTGTAGAATTGTTGTTATTTCTTCCTTAATGTTTGATGACATTTACCAGTGAAGCTACATGGGCCTAGAGTTTTTTTTTGGTGGAAAATTTTAAACTACAAATTCAATCTTATCGGTAGATACGTGACTACTTGGTATCTGTTTCTTCTTGGATAAGCTTTAGCAAGTTGTATCTTTCTAGGGATTTGTTCATTTTACTATATTGTCAGAGTTCATTATAGTCCCTCGTGATGCCATGAATGAATGTAGAGATTGTAGTTGTCCCCTCTCTTAATTCTGTTTTTGGGAATTTGTGGCTTCCCTTTTTTCCCCCGACTGTCTGGCCAGAGGCTTAGTAGTTTTATTGATCTTACGGAACCAGCTGGGGTGTGGCATGTGCCTATAGTCCCATCTGCTTGGCAGGAATATTGCTTGAGCCCAGGAGTTCAGGAATGTAGTGTGCTATGATCATACCTGTGAGTAGTCACTGCACTCCAGTCTTTGGGCAACAGTAAGACTCTGTCTCTTAAGAAACAAAAAACAAAACAAAACAAAAAACTGCTCTTGGGATTTTGGTGGGTTTTTTTTGTTTTTCTCTATTGTATTTGCTTTCTAGGTCATTTATTAATTTGTGTTTTCTTTGAGCTTAATTTTATTTTCTTTTCCTGGATGTATACTCTTTTTTTTTTTTTTTTTAAGGTGGGGAAGCTTAGGTCATTAATTTGATACCTTTCTCTCTTCTAATATAAGCATTTAATTCTATAATTTTTCGATAAGAATTGCTATTGCTCAATACTATTTTCTAGCTACAAGAGAAATTAGTAAAATGAATTTTTTAGTTGAACACGTTTTATAAACTTAAATAGGGTTATATAAGTAAGGAAATCAGAGGAGAATGAAATTCAATAGGAGCCTGACAGTGTCTGCCATGGCCACAATTTTTAAAATCGAGCTACATGCTATATGTGCAATGTCATTGCTATAAATTTACAATCCACCTAAGCCATTGCATGTCACATAGACACCTCTACTTGCTTTTTAGGGGTGGTAAGTTCGCCTGAAGTTTACTTTAAAATTTTCCTTTGGCCGGGTGTGGTGGTGTGTGCCTGTAATCCCAGCTACTTGGGAGGCTGAGGTGGGAGGATTGCTTGAGCCTGGCAGGTGGAGATAGTAGTGAGCTGAGATTGTGCCACTGCACTTCAGCCTGGGTGACAGAGTAGAACCTCTCTCAAAAAAAAAAAACAACCAGCAAAAAAATGTTTTTCCCTTTAATTTTTTGCTACATGATTGCCTGATAGTAAAAGCCAAAATGTGGTTTCTTTAGTTTTTTATTAGCAACTCACACTTTTTTTTTTTACCTATTTATTATGGAAAATTTTAAGCATATTCAAAAGTTGAAGTAGTTTATTGAGCCTCTTTGTTAGCTAATTTCGGTAATTATCAGCAGATGGCCAGTCTTCTTTCCTCTGTATCCCATCACATCTGAATTATTTTGAAGCTAATCTCAGAATTCATTGTTTCATTAATTAATACTCTGGCATATATATTTAAAAGATAAAGCCTTTTTTATTTTTAAAAATACTATCACAATGTCATTATTATACCCTTAAAAATGAGCAGTAATTCTGTAATATCCTGAAATATCCAGTGTTCAATTTTAGATTATCTTACGATTTCTTTCCTCTATAGTATGTTTGAGTCAGGAGCTAAGTAAGTTCCACTCAAACAACGTATTTTGTGATTCATTAAGTTTAGTAAAATCTGTGGCATTAGAACTTTACCAAGGGAAAAACTGTAGAAGTTTGCATTTCTTGTTATCATAATGAAAACCTTCATTGTAATTAATGGAATTACTAGTTGAAGAATGCAGTGGTGAACAAAGTAAACATTTGTCTCTATGTTTTAGTCATTTTAAAGAATGGTGTTTTGACTTTATAGTTAAAACTTTTAATTCTTGTCTTTCTCTAGGCAGGTAATAGATAAACTTTTCTTGATTTTGTTCGTTTTGATTTTTTTTTTTTTTTGAGATGGAGTCTCGCTCTGTCACCAGGCTGGGGTGCAGTGGCGCAATCTCTGGCAACTTCTGCCTCCCGGGTTCAAGTGATTTTCCTGCCTCAGCCTCCTGAGTAGCTGCGACTACAGGCGCGCACCACCATGCCCAGCTGATGTTTGCATTTTTAGTGGAGATGGGGTTTCGCCATGTTGGCCAGGCTGGTCTCGAACTCCTGACCTCAGGTGATCTGCCCGCCTCAAGCCTCCCAAAGTGCAGGTGTGAGCCACTGTGCCTGGCCTGTTTTGCTTTGTTATCATTTGTGTGTTCACTGGAGTAGCACTTTTAATTTCCTTCAAGAACTTTTCCTTGCATTCATAGCTTGGCTGTTTGGTGCAAGAGGCCTAGCTTTGTGTCTGTCTCAGCTTTCCACATGCCTTTCTCACTAAGCTTAATCATTTTTAGTAGAGGCGGGGTTTCACCATGTTGGCCAGGATGGTCTCGATCTTTTGACCTCTTGATCCACCCACCTGGGCCTCCCAAAGTGCTGGGATTACAGGCATGAGCCACCCGGCCTGGCCTTCATTTTGATATTTAAAAAAATGCGTATGCTTACTTGAATCCAGAAGTGCAAGACCAGCCTGGGGAACTTAGACCCTGTCTCTTAAAAAAAGAAAGAAAAAAAAATATGTGTATATATATATTTATGTATGTATGTATGTATGTATGTATGTATGTATGTATGTATGTATGTGCCAGGTGCGGTGTCTCACGCCTGTAATCCCAGCACTTTGGGAGGCCGAGGTCAGGAGTTTGAGACCAGCCTGGCCAATGTGGTGAAACCCCATCTCTATTAAAAATACAAAAAAATAAATAAATAAAAATTAGCTGGGCGTGGTGGCGGGCGCTTGTAATCCCAGCTACTTGGGAGGCTGAGGCAGGAGAATCGCTTGAACCTGGGAAGGCTGAGGTTGCAGTGAGCCGAGTTCGTGCCACTGCACTCCAGCCTGGGCAACAAGAGTGAGACTCCATCTCAAAAACAAAACAAAACAAAACAACAAAAACGTGTGTGTGTGTATATACACACACATATATATATCTCCATTCCAATTTGGCTGTGTAAGACACAGTCCTTGCTCTTAAAGTAGAAGGGATACAGTCAGCAGAACATAATAATGAATGGCAAGCTATTATATTTCTTATGCCGTTTGACTTGTTTTTTGGTTTAACTTGTTCTTTTTCCTGTGTTTTATGACTCCATCTCACAGGAGAGCCTTATAGATGCAAGTGAAGACAGCCAGCTAGAAGCTGCCATCAGAGCCTCCTTACAAGAAACACATTTTGATTCAACACAGACAAAACAGGATAGCCGCTCAGATGAAGAATCTGAATCTGAACTTTTTTCTGGCAGTGAGGAGTTCATATCCGTTTGTGGCTCTGATGAAGAAGAAGAGGTAGAGAATCTTGCCAAGTCCAGAAAGTCTCCCCACAAAGATTTGGGGCATAGAAAAGAGGAGAATAGAAGGCCGCTGACTGAGCCACCAGTCAGAACTGATCCTGGAACAGCCACAAACCACCAAGGATTGCCAGCTGTGGATTCAGAGATACTGGAGATGCCACCTGAAAAAGCAGATGGAGTAGTGGAGGGGATAGATGTAAATGGTAAGTTACATTTAGACATACTTTACTTCAAACTTAGATATTGGGGCCGGGCGTGGTGGATCACTGAGGTTAGGAGTTCCAAGACCAGCCTCGCCAACATGGCAAAACCCTGTCTCTACTAAAAATACAAAACTTAGCCAGGTGTGGTGGCACGTGCCTATAGTCCCAGCTACTTGGGAGGCTGAGGCAGGAGAGTGGCTTGAACCAGGGAGGCGGAGGTTGCAGTGAGCTGAGATCACGCCACTGCACTCCAGCAAAACACTTGAGTAATTGCTGAATGGCTGTATTTATTTACATATTTATTTAAACTAATATTCTGTCTTAAACTCCTGTATCCCGTTTTTTTTTTTTTTTTAAACCCTTCCTTTAGGACCAAAAGCACAGCTGATGTTGCGGTATCCAGATGGAAAAAGGGAACAGATCACTCTTCCAGAGCAAGCTAAACTGCTAGTAAGTACAGGCTTGCTTTGGTTCAGTTCCGACCACTGCAATAAGACGAGTCCCAAATTGTTTGGTTTCCTGGTGCATATAAAAGTTATGTTTACATTATTCCATAGTCTATTAAGTGTGCAGTAGCTTTATGTCTAAAAAAAAGCACATAACTTAATTAAAAAAAGCTTTTGCTAAAAAGTGCTAATGATCCCCTGAATCTTCAGTGAGTCATCTTTTTGTTGGTGGAGGGTCTTGATATTGATGGCTACTGACTGATTGGGGTGATGGGTACTGTGGCAGTTTCTGAAAATGTGACAGCAGTGAAGTTGCTGCATCAGTTGCTTCCTTCGACAAAAAATTTCTCTGTAGCATGTGCTGCCGTTTGATAGTATTTTACCCACAGTAGAACTTCTTTCAAAACTGGAGTCAGTCTTCTCAGAATTTGCCGCAATTTTATCCACCAAGTTTATGCAATATTCTAAATCCTTTGTTGTCATTTCAACAGTGTTAAAAGCATCTTCAGCAGAAGTAGATTCCATCTCCAGAAATCACTTTCTTTGCTCATCCATAAGAAGCAACCCCCCTCCCTTTAATGTTTGATCATGAGATTGCAGCAATTCAGTCATATCGCCATCCTCCACTTCTAATTCTAGTTCTCTTGCAGTTTTTACCCCACTTGCAGTGACTTCCTCCAGTGAATTCTTAAACCCCTCAAAGTCATCCATGAGGGTTGGAATCAACCTCTTCCAAAGCCCTGTTCATGTTGATATTTTGACTTCCTATGAGTTGTGAATGTTCTTAATGGTATTTAGACTGCTGAATCCTTTCCAGAAGATTTTCAGTTTACTTTGCCCAGATTCATCAAAGGAATCTGTATTTATGCCCAGGCTGGTGTGCAGTGGTCATAGCTCACTGTAACCTTGACTCCCCGCCCCGGCTCAAGTGATCCTCCTGCCTCACCCTCCTGAGTAGATCACCACACCCAATTAATTTTCTTTTTTTTAGAGATGGTTTCTTGCTGTGTTGCCAGGTCTTGTCTCAAACTCTTGGACTCAAGTAATCCTCTCACCGCAGCCTCCCAAAGTGTTGAGATTTGGCTCCGTGCCTGGCCAAAATGTGTTTCTTAAATAAGATTTAAAAGTTGAAATGACTCCTTGATCCATGGGCTGCAGAATGGATGTTGGGTTAGCAGACTGGAAACAGCATTCATTTTTATTTGCATTTTCGTCAGAGCTCTTACGTGACTAGGTGCGTTGTCAATGAGCAGTAATATGTTGAATCTTTTTTCTGAGCAGTAGGTCTGAACAGTGGGCTTAAAATATTTAGTAAGTTATGCTGTAAATTGATGTGCTGTCTTTCCAGGTTTTGTTGTTGCAGTTACAGAACACAGACAGAGTAGATTTAACATAATTTTTAAGGGACCTGGGATTTTGGAATGTTAAATGAGCATTGGCTTCAACTGGAAGTCACCAGCTGCATTACCCCCTAACAAGAAAGTCAGCCTTTTTGAACCTTTGAGTGCAGCCACTGACTTCTCTCTAGCTGTGAAAGTCCTTGATGGCATCTTCTTCCAATAGAAGGCTGTTTTGTCAAACTTAAATCTGTTATTTAGTGTTGTTACCTTCGTGAACTGTCTTCACTACATCTTCTAGATAAGTTTCTGCACCTTCTGCATCAGCACTTGCTGCTTCACCTTGCACTTTGATGTTATGGAGATGGCTTCTTTCCTTCAACCTCATGAACCAACCTCTGCTAGCTTCCAGCTTTTCTTTCGTAGCTTCCTTAACTCCCTTAGCCTTCATAGGATTGAAAAGAGTTAGAACCTTGTTTTGGATTAGGCTTTGGCTTAAGGGAATGTGTGACTGGTTTGATTTTTCTGTACAGACCACTAAAACTTTCTCCTTTTCAGCAGCACAGCAGTAAGGCTGTTTTGCTTTCTTTCCTTTTTTTTTTTTTGAGACAGAGTCTTGCTCTGTCACCCAGGCTAGAGTACAATGGTGCGATCTCAGCTCACTGCAACCTCCGCCTCCCGGGTTCAAGCAGTTCTCCTTGCCTCAGCCTCCCGAGTAGCTGGGATTACAGGCGCCCACCACCACGCCCAGCTAACTTTTGTATTTTTAGTGGAGATGGGGTTTCACCATGTTGGCCAGGCTGGTCTCGAACTCCTGACCTCAGGTGATCCACCCACCTCAGCCTCTGAAAGTGCAGGTGTGAGCCACTGCTCCCGGCCTGTTTTGCTTTGTTATCATTTGTGTGTTCACTGGAGTAGCACTTTTAATTTCCTTCCAGAACTTTTCCTTGCATTCACAGCTTGGCTGTTTGGTGCCAGAGGCCTAGCTTTGTGTCTGTCTCAGCTTTCCACGTGCCTTTCTCACTAAGCTTCATCATTTTTAGCAATTGATTGATTTTGAGGATGGACACTTCCTTTCACTTGGGTACTTAGAGGCCTACACTGGTAGGTTATTAATTGGCCTACTTTCAATACTGTCATGTCTCCGGGAATAAGGAGGCCTGAATAGAGGGAGAGAGATGGGAAAACTCCCATTAGGTGGAGCAGTCAGAACATACTTCTTTATTAAGTTTGCGGTCTTGTGTGGGCGTGGTTTGTGGTGCCCAAAAGCAGAATAGTAACATCAAAGGTAACTGCTCACAGTTCATTATAATAGATAAAATAATGAACTGCAAGCATTACCAAAAGGTGACACAGAGACAGGCAGTGAGCACATGCTGTTTGAAAAATGGAGCCAATAGAGGCACTTGACACAAGGTTGCCGCAGACCTTCAGTAACTTGAAGCACAATGAAACAGGGCGTTGGAAGCATTTTCTCGAAGCAGAGAAGCTAATTCATTGGAGTAAGTTCAGTGAGCTTTGCTTGATAATTCTTTGAAATAGGTGTGGGAGGCCAGGTGCAGTGGCTCACTCCTGTAATCCCAGCACTTTGGGAGGCCAAGGTGGGAGGATCACTTGAGTCCAGGAGTTTGAGACCAGCCTGGGCAACAAAGCGAGACCCTGTCTCTGTTTAAAAAAAAAAAAAAAAAGAAAGAGGTGTTAGATGTTTAGTCTGATCTCTAACTGCAAACTGTGGTGAGTCATCTTGTTGTTGTTGGTTGGTTGGTTGTTTTGAGACAGGGTCGCTCTGTCGCTCAGGCTGGAGTGCAGTGGCCCAATCTCAGCTCACTGCAACCTCTGCCTCCTGGGCTCAAGCGAGCCTCCCACCTCAACCTCCCAGGTAGCTGGGACTACAGGTGTGTGCCACCACACCCAGCTAATTTTTTAAAATTCTTTTTTGTAGAGAAGGGTTCTCACTATGTTACCCAGGCTGGTCTTGAACTCCTGAGCTCAAGTCATCCTCCTTCCCCAGCCTCCCAAAGTGCAGGGATTACAGGTGGGAGCACCCGGTTGTGAATCTTAATTCTAATTAGTTTATTTCCTTCCCAGATTAAATTAGGTAAGCCACGTAAGGTATGTTCCAGTGAAGATTTTTCTGTTTCATGCCTGCATGGAATAGAAACCCAACTGAAATGACTACTTCTGGAAAAGGACGACTGGGGTTATTTGAAGAGGATAGTGGTTTTCCAGCAGCTGGAACTGCAAAGTGTTTAAGAACTGTGTCTGTTTTTCTCTATGTTTCTCTTCTGGGGCCTGTAGGTTTTCTCTTGGGATTCTCTGCTTCACACCATTCTCTGCATACTGGTGGCTTTTGTTTATTCCTCAGCTCGCACGTGGTTCATCATGGTGACGCTGCGGGCATTTTCATCTAACACAGCTGATGAGCTTTCTGTGGTTTTTGGTTTGTGTTGTTTTTGTTTTTTTCTTCCTTTTCTTGTAGACACGATCTGGCTCTGCCCAGGCTGGAGTGCTGTGGGGCACGACCTTGGCTCACTGCAACCTCTGCCTGCCAGGCTTAAGCCATTCTCCTCCCACCTTGACCTTCCCGGTAGCTGGGACTACAGGCACACACCACCATGCCCGGCTAGTTTTTATTTTTATTTTTACTTTTTTTGAGATGAAGATTGGCTCTGTTACCCAGGCTGGAGTGCGGGTGGCATGATCTTGGCTCACTGCAACCTCAGCCTCCCAGGTTCAAGCAATTCTGCCTCAGCCTCCCAAGTAGTTGGGATTACAGGTGCGCACCACCATGCCCAGCTAATTTTTTTGTATTTTTAGTAGAGACGGGATTTCACCATGTTGGCCAGACTGGTCTCGAACTTCTGACCTCAGGTGAGCCACCATGCCTGGCCCATATTTTTTGATGAGATGGGATTTTGCCATGTTGCCCCAGCTGGTCTCCAACTCCTGTGCTCAAGCTGTCCCCCTCCTTGGCCTCCCAAAGTGCAGGGATTACAGGTGTGAGCAACCGTGCCCCGACACCCTCTGTTTTTAACTGCTGGAAACAGAATCTTGAGTCTGACTAGCTTAGCTTAGCTTAGCCTGTGAATGAATCCCTTGCGTCAGGCATTGCTGGCCGTTTGCTGTGGCTGGAGATAATTAGGCTGATTCTTGAAGACTGTGTTACTGAAATGCAAGCAGTGTTGAAGTTTGATGGGAAGCAGAGAGGGAGATGTTGAAGAAACCTGCAAAAGATGGGAATGGTCCAGTTTCTGAGAAGGCAAGAAGAGATTCAGTGCACAGGTGGCAAGATTGGGTGTAGGCAGAATGAAGGACATATCTTCCTTGATAAAAGGGAGAAAGGAAAACGGATAAAATGTTTTAAAATGAGAACAATAATTTAATTTTATGAATAGTGACTGGGTATATTTATTGGGGAGCCAAATAATAACTGTGTATTTCAGTATCACTTAATGGCTGTAAGTAATTGGGGTCAGATTTATCTCCCCGTCCAAAGGTTTATATTGGCCCTTCCCCAAGGGCAAGCTTTGGTTATATGAAAGAAGAACTTACATTTAATAGCTGATCTAATATGATTAAAAAGAGAATGTTTTCTATTTAATTCACTAATATGCTCTTTCCTCTTTTTCCGTCTAATGGCTTTGTCTTTCTCTTGTTTTTATAGGCTTTGGTGAAGCACGTGCAGTCTAAAGGATACCCAAATGAACGTTTTGAACTTCTCACCAACTTTCCTCGAAGGAAATTATCTCATCTGGACTATGATATTACATTGCAAGAGGCAGGCCTTTGTCCTCAAGAGACTGTCTTTGTACAGGAAAGAAATTAACACCATGGCTTGACCTCTCTCAGCTTACCCCTTTTTTCCCTTTTCCTGTGAGATACATGTCACTAAGTATGCATTTTGGCTCATAGGACCACAGAGCCAAAGTTGGGCAAGCAAGTCACCTTCCTTCTCTTATTTCTTGATCTCTCCTATAATCAGTCTCTTTCTCCCCCTTTGTTTCTTTCTCCTCTTCTGTTTTCTCGCTCCCCACTCCGTACCCTTCTGCCTCCCCCTCCCC
Organism: Homo sapiens; assembly: GCF_000001405.40. Lineage (NCBI taxonomy): Eukaryota > Metazoa > Chordata > Mammalia > Primates > Hominidae > Homo > Homo sapiens. The sequence continues at coordinate 196,356,449 of NC_000003.12, read as the reverse complement.
CCACACTTTTCTTTCTTACCTAATCTGGTGACCAAACTGAAGTGTAAGGATAAGACCTCTCCTAGTACTAGCAGCAGGAATTGTGTGTTCCAGTAAGTGGTCTCTTGCACGGCACTTTTTTGGGATCAAATGTTAACGTTACTCCCCAGACTCTTCGGGCAAAGGAATGGCTAGATTCAGAGTAAGAACAACCCTCCCTTTTTTGTAAGTCCCCGTGTTTAGCAGGGAGAAGAAATTCTCTAACATGGGTTTGGTTTTGTTGTGTTCTTCATGTGGAAATGTCGCTTAACAAAATATCCAGGCTTTTGTTTACGTGGAAAAAGCATCCCTTGTAATGATTGCTCATCATACTTAAAAACCTTTTTCAAAGGATTTTCATGTTCCCAGCTATAAGGACTATTTCCATGACATGTGTTATTGGCAGAATGAGTGTTAAATATGGAGCATATAGCATGGGGTGACTTTCATTGTCCTAACCTGAGACAGTTTTCCTTATTACTCTGTATTGATCCTGCTAGTCCAAGAATGGACATGAAGTGAACCTATCGTGGTGACTGGGATAGGAAGGTGCTTGCTATTTTTGCCAGCACAGCATATTAGTTCCTTTGGAGCCCTCCATTGTCTGAGTCTGCAGTGATCTGTAGGAAGGCAGCTGGTCAATAATCATGTAGTACAATGGCTTGGAATTGTAACCACTATGGTTATTGATTGTCCTGTGTTGTTTCAGGCATACTTAGGTATGTCCCTGGGGAAAAAGAAAACCATTCAGCTGAGAGTTGCTAACCATGTTCTTTTGGTTAGAAATAATGGTTCATTTTTTGCCCCTGGTTGGAATAGTCTCTAAAAGGCTCTGGTGACTGAATTGAACATGAGTCCGCATGCTGTTTTCTTTCAAAAGGTATCAAAACGGAAAGCCTCTCTAAGGGGAAGACCTTTCAACTCCATTCAGAAGACAACATTTAGTAAGGAGGATGGCGGAGGTTACTAGTAATTTTCAGATGTCTTGGGCTTTTTCTGCCAACAAAACCCAAAATCAAATTAGAGTTGGTGAAAGCTTTCTTCAGTGTTTTTAGAAGAGGCCATCTTGAATCTGTAGAATACCATTTACACATCAACTTCACCCTATGCTCATTTCGTATTTTGAGCTTAAATGGAGTCCTCTGAAGGGGGGGTAGTCGTGATTCTGGTGGCAAAACTAGAACTTTTAACTTGTAAAATGAAAAATATTAAATGGACCTTTTTGTCAGTTGAGGATTTAGATTGATTCTTTTATCTGAGGAGCGTATGTTCCTCAGATGTTGCGTAGAGACCTTTAGGTTTTCATCTACTTTAAGATTGCTCTCTTGGCAATTAGGGGATTTGGGAAAAGAAGAAAAAAAGATGCCATGTGTTGCTAGTACACAGTTATAGGATATGGTTTCTAATGGTTGAATTTTGAGGAACTCTCCCTAAAGAATGAGTTTTATATCTCCTCAAGGAAATCATGGAAAAATCTGTTTATTCTTCAGTGAGTCCTTTTGAATTAATGTTCTTAAATTTTTTTCTAAGTCTGTGTAAGTGCTTATGTATAAGTATATAATTGTATAAATATTTATAAATATATTTATATAATTACGGTTTCATTTCTACCTTGAGTCAAAGTTCTGTCTTTAGATTGGTGACTGAGTAATACTTACACTTTGGTGTTTTTTCTTAGGTTCTTGAGGCTTACTTAACTAGCAGCTTCTGATTTATTGAGTGAAAGATGGTTTTCATGTTAATTCCTCAGTTGCATCTCTGAACTTGGATAACATACTTGCCGTTTGAAAAATAGAGCTGTATACTGTCAAAGGTGCACTGGAGGGTAAAACATTTGTTGGTAGTAGACAAGCTCAGAAATCCAAAAATTCAGGGAGGGCACAGGGTAAGAAGAGAGGTTTGCTCAGCTTTGTGCTCTGATGGCACCCATCTGTACTCCAGCAAAGTCATAGCTGAAGCCCAAATCGCTCAAACGTGTGAAGTCAATCATTTTTCCTATAGGGCTCTGTTTCCTTTTCTTTACCTTCTAGCTTCTCTTGATAAAACAGTTGGGAGAACTGCCAACGTGTTCATCAGTGAGAGGGTGTGGTTCTTTCCGATATGTTCAGCACGTGCATATTCATTTATGAGAAACCAAAGTAACTTCTTCAACTCGGGTTACTGTGGGATGATTAAGTAGATATAAAGTGATTTAAAAGACAGCATGGTACTTTCACTCAGCTTAACATGCAGCTGGGATGTCTACAATACAAGATGTGGTGGGTTTTATTTTATTTTATTTTGAGGCAGGAGTGTAATTATCTTAGGGTTGATATAAAGGCCCATGGGAAGAGTTACGGATTGTACATGGGAAGAATCCATAAGGAGTATTGCCTTGCTCAAGAATTTAATCCGCTGACAGTATGCTTCTTCCAGTTTGCCTTACTTCCTCTGCAAGTTTCTTTGCTCCTTAGGGCAGAGGTTTTATTGAATAGATTAAATGAGGTCAGTAAGATTAGTTAAAAATAGTCATTCCTTGTGGGTGTTGGACACAGCTTGAAAGGAGTGTTTAAAAAAAAAAAGCTAGGGAGGAAAAGAACAAGAAAGATAGACTTCGAGAGTGATAAGAGAAAAATACAGGGAGATGGAATGGAAACTACCAGGAAGGCCGGGCGCGGTGGCTCATGCCTGTAATCCCAACACTTTGGGAGGCGGAGGTGGGCAGATCACCTAAGGTCAGGAGATCGAGGCCAGCCTGAGCAACATGGTGAAACCCCGTCTCTACTAAAAATACAAAAATTACCTGGGTGTGGTGGCGTGCACCTGTAATCCCAGCTACTCAGAGGCTGAGGCAGGGGAATGGCTTGAACCTGGGAGGCAGAGGTTGCAGTGAGCCAAGATCGCACCATTACACTCCAGCCTGGGCGACAAAGCGACACTCCATCTCAAATTTAAAAAAAAAAAAGAAGAAGAAGAAGAAAACTAGTGGGAAAAAAGTGAGAGGAATACTTTTTTGAAATTGGTATCGGAAGGAACTGGAGAAGAGAAAACAACAGTGCCAAATGAGAAAAGAACAGGAAACTTAATACTAATTGGCATGCACCAGATACTTTTGTGTACATTTGCCTCTTCAATCTCCCGAAGAATCGTACAAAATGTATACTTTCTTCCCATGTTAAGAAAACAGGTATAGAGAACTTATTCAGGACTCATAGCTAGTGAGTGGCAAATCAGAATTGGAATCCAGAGTCCATGCTGTGGTCTCCTTCAGCAAGAGAATCAAGCTACCCAGATGATTCTCTTCTCATTGTTTGGCTTTGTAAAGTGTCACTTAGTTTTGTTCCCATAAATATAGAGGAAGTAGTTGGGTTAAAGTTGTGGGATTTGCACTATGCCTATACATTTTTATTTATGCCATTATTTTGAGAGGCTGATTATTGCTTTTTTAAAATGATGCACTGGTGAAGATGTGAAAGTAAAATTGCCACGTGGCATTATTTGCCAAGAATAAATGAAAAGGGTAAAAAAACAATTTTTTCTTTTTTTAAACATTTTTCAGAAAAGATACAATTACCTTTTTTAATAGGTGAGCGCCACCACGCCCGGCTAATTTTTGCATTTTTAGTAGAGACAGGGTTTCACCATGTTGGCCAGGATGGTCTCGATCTCTTGATCTCGTGTTCCGCCCACCTCGGCCTCCTAAAGTGCTGGGATTACAGGCATGAGCCACTGCGCCCGATCTACAATTCTGTTTTCTGTGTCCCATCCATACCAGATTATTGAACCCTCTGTGTGTATGTTTTTAAATCTTGTATATAATTCTACTTCCTTGACTTACAAGTCAACAATTAGCTATTGAGTTCTTTATAGAAGTTGGAAGTATTTTGAAATCTGAGATCTAATTCCTGGCCAGGTGTGGTGGCTCATGCCTGTAATCCCAATATTTTGGGAGGCCGAGGTGGGTGGATCACCTGAGGTTGGGAGTTCGAGATCAGCCTGGCCAACATGGTGAAACCCCATCTCTACTGAAAAATACAAAAATTAGCCAGGCATGGTGGCTGTCTGTAATCCCAGCTAATGGGGAGGCTGAGGCACAAGAATCTCTTGAACCTGGGAGGCGGAGGTTGCAGTGAGCCGAGATCACACCACTGCACTCCATCCTGGGCAATGGAGCGAGACTCTGTCTCAAAAAATAATAAATAAGATATGATTCCTGCCTGTTTTATCCAGTTAGAGAGACACACTACACATGAAATAATTGGAGAGCATGTAAATGTTTACCTATTAGTTCAAACTTAGAAAAAGGGAAGAATATGTTTTAGTTAGCAAAGTCTTAAACAAGACTGAAGTGGCAAGCACTGTAGCTCACGTTTTCTTTTGACTCACCTTTTTCTTTAGCTCCACCTTTTGTAACTTCTAGATTTGGGGCATGAAGTTCTGCCACTAAGGCATAACCAGTACCCAAGTAGGAAAGGATTATTGATCCCTGGAGTAAAGATTCCTAGCTTGCGGGGATCTCACTATTGATCCCCCGGAGTAAAGATTCCTAGCTCGCAGGAATCTTACTTGCACACTTAGGGAAAATACCAGAGGGAGCCACTAGCAACCGAAAAATGAAGGAAAGATTTAATTTCTCTACCCAGGTACAAATCCAATGCATAGTATAGTATATGTTATATGCAGAAAGGGCACTGGAGGTGTGAGAGCCCTTTGGGTAACAGCTCTGCTAGTTGTTACCTTCACACTTCTCTTTCTTCTTAATCTCTGGTTTCTCGTCTGAAAAATGAGATAATTGGACTAGATTAATAGTTCTCAGCCTTTTCTAGAACAACAAATTAGATTATCTCTGAAGTCCTTTTCCAAAATTTCATGCTTCCAGTCTCTCCCCGTGATTGCGTATTATCCCTAGGCTAATTAAAAGTGTGCTGGTTAATCAGTTTCTTTACTTTTTTTTTCTCTCTTTTTTTTATTCTGTGTTCAGGTATCATTTGACCAACAACTTGCTCTTAATCTTACTGCGATGACTGAAATCTCCAAAGAGGAGAGTATAGTAGTTATAGGTCTAGTAATAATAATCTTGTAAACAATTCATTATTTTTTAAAACTTAATGCTGTGTGCCTAATCAGTGTTGAGTATGACTAAAATGTAAATGAGAACCAAATATGACACTAACGCTGGCACTAAATTTTATTTTTACTTGTGTACTTAAAGTACTTTACTGGCCTGTTGGGAAATTGATTTGTATAAGATTCACACCTGGTTTTGGCAGAAACAGCTTTTTAAAGATACAATTAGGCTGACTTAAAAATGTTTTTTATTCCACAGAATGTATCTTTATTATGTCATTCTTACCGTCTCTCTGCCTTTTTTGACCATCATGTAACTACGCAGTAGTAAATCATGGGGTGCAGGCTGATGAATTAGTAGTCTTTGTAAAACTAAAATGTAATGAGCATAGGAAGAGACAGCTCTTCTGGTGAACATGGCAGTTTTCCGGTAATACCAGCCTTGATGAATAGGCTAAAGACAGCTGTGTACTATGGACATTCAACTTCACTGGATTGCCTGGCTTAGCTTTTCAGTTATTGTCTTGCCGTGAAACATGGTGTTGCACTGTACACATTTTAGAATAGTGGCAAGAATGTTCTTTAGAACTGCAGATAACCCAACAGAGAATACCATACCAATATATCGGTTTCTCCTGTTACATAGAGATTTGGTATTTCAGTGATGGTTATGGTTTTTGACTCACCTGTGTGTCAGTCCTGCTAGAGAGACAGTATAGAATCAAGAATTTCTTGATGTCTTTTTAAAAATAGAGATTATAATGGCCTTGCTAGTTGTCCTGTGAAGTGACAGACCCTTAATTAGAAATCTTTTAATCCTGCTTTCCATTTTACTTCTCCACCATTTATTTTTAACATTCATTCTCTGAAAATAGTTATGATTTTTAGTGTAATTGGCTATGTTTAAGAAATTCCATTTCAAAGTCTTAATATGTAACAATCTTCATTTTTTATAAAATTGAAGGACATTTTTGAGGCAAACTTACTTTTATAGCTCATTTTCTCCCTAGTTAAGGAGAATTCTCTGGTTTCATATAGAGAATGGCTAGCTCTGTGATACCCCACCCTCTTTGTGGCCTACCAGTTGCTGTTGTGTTGCTTAAAATTGCAGATATTCTCATAAACATGATGATTTTTGGCACAGGCCTTTCTTTGCTATTGATTTCAAAATAAAGTTGGGCAATCCAATTTGAACTACTTTAATAAACATAATTTAGCATTCCTGTAATGAGAAAGTATTTTCAAAAGATAACCAGATTTATTTCTAGGATTAGAGATGGCAAATACCAATGATAGTATTTTTCCCAAGAGCAATCACAGATTAATCTATAAATATGAGAAGTCGCATTATTGTACTTAATTCTTTGGCAACAAACAGCAAGTTTTTATTGTTTAATTGTATTTCCTCTCTAGAGATCACAATACTCTGGGTATTTTATATCCCTTCTAAAGGTCATTTGGGTTTTCAAATGGGAAGAATAGTCAAGCTAAGCTGGACTAAACCTAAGTAATATTTTTTCTCATCAAAAGAAGTTATTAATCTAACTGGGTTAGCATGAGTCATTCATTTTTTAGACATGATAAATGGGAAACATATCAAATCATTAGATAAATTCTGACCTGGAATTGAATTCCCCCTTTCTTAAAATCTTTTTAATTTGCTTTTTTCATAGACTCAGTATGGAACTCTTAACTGATAAGGGAGAGATTCTTGATCTGGAACCGTTCCCTGCCATTCTCCTTTTTTCTCTCTATCTAGGTAGCTGGTTCCATAGTGCCCGTCACGAGGGTCCATTTCAGTTTGATGACATTAGACTGCTTACACTCAGCTGGATGCCTTGCTGTTTGCAGCAACATGATTTTACAGTATGCTTTTCTCAAAGCTTTGCATTCTTAATGGAGATATCAAATGGTGTAATTCCAAATATAAATATGTTTATGACACTAATCATATGCTTTTAACAATAACTTTTTGATAACTTATTGCCCTGTAAGTTAAACCTTACACGGAGTGACTGTTGCCATCAGAAAATCCCCTTTCACCTGCTAGAGAGAGTGAAAGTAGTGCGTGGCCTCCACTTTTCAGTTAACGAGTAGCAAGCTTCTAGTAGGGGCTGCTTATCTGACCCATGTGGGGTCTTGGGCCTTGTTACTTTCCTGGGTTCGTCCCTTCAGCTGGAAAGGCTGTTGAAAACACTTGCCAGGAAACAGTAAAGCTGTGAGAGAATCTTCTAGTCTTAGATATAGAGAAATGAGTACCAGTTGATGCTAACACGATACTTAGACTTTGAGGGGCTTCCATCCAAGCTTTGGCATGAATCTGTTAGACACGGTTTTCTTCACTCCTCTGATAATCTTTTTTTCCAGAATGGTTTTTTGTTGTTGTTGTTGTTAACAAATTCTAAACATCCAGTGTTACTTTTTGTTTTGTTTGTTTTGTTTTGTTTTGTTTTGTTTTGTTTGCCCTTCAGGAAAGTCCTTTTTCGAGTAGGTATTGATTGTTCCCTGGAAACTCTCAGCAGTGTCTGTGCAGGCTCTGTGCATGCTTTGTATGAGTTCGGCTTGAACAATGCATTTGAAGTCACCTGGGATGTCCAGTTCTGGCATGTCTTCATTGATTGTGTTTTTAAACATGTTTCATGTTTCATGTCATTTTCCAAACCTCACTTTACATCTTACTCAGAGAAGTTAATCAAGGAATGAAATTTCTAGGGGGATAGGGATGATGAGGGTGGGTTGGGGGCTTGAGTGAAGTCAACTTGGGGTATTTGCTTTAAAGTGTTTTCTAAAGCAGTTCCTAACAGTATTTAGAGATTCCCTGGGATGTTTGTGGCTCAACTTATTCTGGACAAAGTGTGTGTGGGGGTGGTCTTACTGAGATTTGCATTCTTAATGCAGGACAGGCTCTAAATTTCATCTGTACTCTAAATTTGTGATTGAATCCAAGAAGATAACAGAGACAGTGCTCCTGTTGTAATGTTTCTGGCAAGTGCTCCCTAAAATGCACATCGAATTCTGTTTTCTGGGCCTTTTCTCCAATGGTGCTAGGAGATACCGTTGATTTCTGCAGCTCTTCTCAGTGGTGGGAAGAAGTCTTTGGGATTGTTGAGCAAGGGGCAGCTGGACCATCCACTAAATTTTTTTGTTCAAGACACATTAGAGACCCTCCTGTATATCTAGTAAGTCATAATAAAGGTGCTTGGGAAAGCCTTAAATTTGAAGACACATGGAGGCGGTAGAAAATTAAACTTGTAAGAGGAGAAAAACATGCCATTAGGTAACGCAGAGTTGTAACTACTGGCTAAGACTCAATGGAACTTCCACTTGCTCTAAAACCAGGGAAATCTTAGATAACTGGGTGTGATCTACCTATAGATCTACCTAGTCTATAGGTAATAATTTCCAGAAGGAGGATCTTGCTGTCAGTTGGGGATCCTCTGGTTTGGTCTGTACCAAATTGTGAATACTCTTGCTGTGTTGTACCCAGTTGCTTTATATTAATACTGCAACTTGAAACGGGGAGGGTGGGGGGACAATGGGGTGGGGGAGGGAAGGGAGTGGGACGATAAGTCTTTTGAAGACATCAGCTCACTGTGCTGAGAGAGGGACCAAACTCAAGGAAACCTCTGATCTATACATTCAACTGCTGCATTTTTTTATAAATACATGTAAATGTCCTGTTGTAATATTTGATCTTGGAAATAAAAACAAAAACTTTTCAGTATTAGTTTTTTTTGTGTTGTTGTTTTTACAAGATAAGACTCTGGATATTACTTTCAGTAATACAATTGAGATTCCAAAAGCTTGCCCCCTCACGTTCTCATTTAGGTCAGTTACTATTGATTGACAAAGGTTACTTTGTAGTCCCGTTGTTATGTGTAACGTTTGCTAGCCTTTTTTCTGCTCTTTGTGGTATGTCAAACATTCATGGTAAACACTCTGTAAATATTAGTCCAGTTGTTACAGAAACATTGGGTAAGCTAGGCTTGTTAGGTAAGTATGATTCTGTGTTTGACATACTTGGGCGAATATTCAGTGTCTGTTCTTTCAGACCAGCAGTAATTACTAATGGTTAATTAAGGACTTAGCTTAATTGAAGGAAAGATAATTACTAAATTAATGGGCAAAAAGGAGATACGATTATATGGTATGACAGAAATTGTTATTGCTGCTGGATGCAGTGGCTCATGCATGTAATCCCAGCCCTTTGGGAGGCTGAGATGGGCGGATCACCTGAGGTCAGGAGTTCGAGACCAGCCTGGCCAACATGGTGAAACCCCGTCTCTACTAAAAATACAAACATTAGCTGGGTGTGGTGGCGGCCGCCTGTAATCCCAGCTACTTGGGAGGCTGAGACAGGAGAATCGCTTGAACCCAGGAGGCAGAGGTTGCAGTGAGCCGAGATCGTGCCACTGCACTGCAGCCTGGGCGACAAGAGTGAAACTCTGTCTCAAAAAAAAAAAAAAGAAAAAAGCCGGGCGTGGTGGCAGTGCCTATAATCCCATCTACTCGGGAGGCTGAGGCAGGAGACTTGCTTGAACCTGGGAAGTGGAGGGTGCAGTGAGCCGAGATAGCATCCAGCCTGGGTGACAGAGTGACTCCATCTCAAAAAAAAAAAAAAAAAAAAAAAAAAAGGGACTGCTGCTTAGCTCACAGTTCTACAGTGATGGGTTTGTGCCCCCCCTTTTCTTGTGGAACCATTTCTCATCCCCATGCTCCAGCCTCATGTGCCAAATAATAGGGATGTATGTGATGGGGAGCAAAACAGATACAGCCTCTGCCCTCAAGGAACTTACTTTCTAGTTGGAAACAGACGATAAACATACATGGAAAAACAGATCTGATTCTAATAGAATGAAAAAAAAAAAATAGAAAAGGAGCCAGTAGAGAATTCTTTATTTTTTTAATTTTGAGACAGAGTCTCGCTCTGTTGCCCAGGCTGGAGTGCAGTGATTTGATCACAGCTCACTGGAAGCTCCGCCTCCCAGGTTCAAGCAATTCTCCTGCCTCAGCCTCCCGAGTAGCTGGGACTACAGGTGCCCGCCACCACGCCCGGCTAATTTTTGTGTTTTTAGTAGAGACGGGGTTTCACCATGTTGGCCAGGCTGGTCTCGAATTCCTGACCTCAAGTGATTCACCTGCCTCGGCCTCCCACAGTGCTGGGATCACAGATGTGAGCCACTGCGCCCTGCCTGGTGTTTCTTCTCACTGCCTGCACCTCCTTGATTGGGTCTTTATGGTGGTGATCCCCAGGACCTGGCCCTCTAACTCTCCCTCTGTGATCTCATTCTGATAGTACCAACCGCCATGTATAATGCCAATGATTTCTCACATCTCCAACTCCAGCCCGTCTCTCCTCCAAGCTTCAGACTCACATGTCCGACTTTTTACACTGCGCCTATAGTTGGAAGTATCACACTTACATCTAAGATGACGCCTCCCCACCCAGACCTGCAGTGACACCACTACCTATGAACCTGCCAGAAACTTAAGTCATTTTCTTTTGCTTATTCCCCCATCTCTAATCCAACAGCAAGTCCTTTAACTTCTGCCTCCAAAATGCATAAAAGGTAACCCTACTTTTCAGTCTATTGCCATTACTCTGGTCCAAGTGACCTGCTTTTTATCGTGACCACTGCAGTAGTCTCTGCTCTTACTCTCTTCCGACCCATTCTCCGCATACTGGCTTCTCCTTCCACTCAGAATGCCCAAGCTCCTTGCTTCATGCCACCCCCTTTGCCCCCTGCCTGCCAGCTGACTGGCCTTCTCTCAAACCCCAACATCAAACACCTTCCTGCTCCACAGCCGAGGCATGTCTTCTGCTTGAGTTCTCCTCGTCTTAGCACGGATCACTTTCTTTTATCCTTTAGGTCTCAGCCTAAAAGTAAACTCCACAACGTTCTATTTAAAGGAGAAATCTCAGCCGGGCGCAGTGGCTCACGCCTGTAATCCCAGCACCTTGGGAGGCCAAGGTGGGCAGATCACTTGAGCTCAGGAGTTCTAGACCAGCCCGGCCAATATGGTGAAACCCCGCCTCTACTAAAAACACAAAAATTAGCCGGGTGTGGTGGCACGGTTGCTTGTAATTCCAGGTACTCGGGAGGCTGAGGCAGGAGAATTGCTTGAACCCGGGAGGTGGAGGTTGCAGTGAGCCAAGATGGTGACACTGGACTCCAGACTCCAGCCTGAGGGACAAGAGCAAAACTCTGTCTCAAAAAAAAGAAACAAAAAAACACCAGAGTGGGGTGTCAAGGGAGCCAAGAGTAAGAATGTTCAAGAAGGATCCTGTGGCTAACTATGTCTAGAGTCAAGTAAAGAGGACAGTGTAGCGTTCATCAGAGACACGAAATCACTGGAGACCAAGAACAGTTTCAGTGCAATGTTGGAGGCAGAAATCTACTTTGGGTGGGTGGAAGTTTACGATTTTTATATACTAATGAGAAAACCCTAACTTCCTCTTCAGTGGTCTGGTATAAAAGGCAGCTCTTTCAATATCTTCCCTTTTTTTCTCCCTCCAATTAAGGGAATGTGCTCTCTTGTCAGCTTTCAGTTGAGTTTAGAGCCCACCCACAGGAGGCTGATTAGTCCTGTCGCTCTCATCTGGGGAACACTAGAAAACAGCTGGCCTGGTTGTCTGGCTGTATCATCTTCTCTTCTGCCAGTGAATTCTATTTCATCAACTTCCTCTATTTCTTGCTCAAATACCACCTCCAGATCCCCAAATATACCCCAGAATGGAACATCTGTCTAGCCTGTTCTCCTAAGTCTTTATTTTTTGTTTTTTTTATTTGAGACGGAGTCTCACTCTTTCTCCCAGGCTGGAGTGCAGTGGTGTGATCTCGGCTCACTGCAACCTCCGCCTCCCGGGTTCATCACGCCATTCTCCGGCCTGAGCCTCCCGAGTAGCTGGGACTACAGGCACGTGCCACCACGCCCGGCTAATTTTTTGTATTTTTAGTAGAGATGGGGTTTCACCGTGTTAGCCAGGATGGTCTCGATCTCCTGACCTCGTGATCCACCTGCCTCCGCCTCCAAAGTGCTGGGATTACAGGCGTGAGCCACCGCGCCAGGACTTTTTTTGTTTGTTTTTGTTTTTTGTTTTAAACAGAGTCTCACTCTGTTGCCGAGACTGGAGTGCAGTGGCGCGATCTCGGCTCACCGCAACCTCCGCCTCTCGTACTCAAGCAGTCCTCCCACCTCAGCCTCCCCAGTAGCTGGGACTACGGTTGTGCACACCACGCCCAGCTAATTTTTGTATCTTTAGTAAAGACGGTTTCACCATGTTGGTCATGCTGGTCTCAAATTCCTGGCCTTGAAACCGCCTTTGCAAAATGATGACTGAGACAGTGAAAGAGATCCAACCTAACCGACTCCATCTTGCGTCTAACCTCCAAGCTGCCCTTGTTCATTCCTGGGCGTAGGCTGAACTAACTTGGGGGGAAACTTAATTTATAGTTTAAAACAAAGACGGTAACAGCCCTTTCCCAAAGCAGACCTCCTTCTTGCCGGGGGACTAGACTAACATTAGTCACAAGATTAGAAATGATGGTTTAGGAGCCATGCAGCTGGAGGCTACAAGATTCTGACCCTCCCTACACTGCTCCTAAGATCAGCGCTTGAGATACTTTGCAGACCCTGCACTTGATGGATCAGCTGGCACCACCCAGGTGGATAAACTGGCTCATCTGATCTTGTGGCCCCGACCCAGGAACTGACTCAGCGCAAGAAGACAGCTGACTCCCTGTGATTCCATCCCTGATCAATCAGCACTCCCGGCTCACTGGCTCTCCACACCCACCAAGCTGTCCTTAAAAACTCTGCTCCCCGAATGCTGGGAGAGACTGATTTGAGTAATAATAAAACTGCGGTCTCCCGCACAGCCGGCTGTGCGTGAATTACTCTTTCTCTATGGCAATTCCCCTGTCATGACGAATCGGCTCTGTCTAGACAGCGGGCAAGTGAACCCCTTGGGCGGTTACAGCCTCAAGTGATCCACCGGCCTCTGCCTCCCGAAGTGCTGGGATTACAGGTGTGGGTCACTGGCACCTGGCCGTCTCCCAAATCTTTCAGCCTCAGGAAGCCTTTTGTGGCATGACTGGTTTTCTCAGCCCAGGCCCTGTTCGTCATTTATGTCCTCAGACTCCCATTTGCTCCTCCCTAGGAGCATCACCGACAAAGTAACAGCAAGTAGCTCCATCTCCAGTAGAGCCACACTCCGCGGTTATTAACACGTCTCAAAGAGGTGAAGCTTCAGTGCTTTCATGGCAGCGACCGTGCCTCTGTTGCCCTAGGAGGCTCGCCACATGGAAATGAAGAGATAGTCCCAACGCTAGCCTTACGAGACCCGTTTATCTCAAGTACATGATTTCTTAAAGAAGTGTCTTGTTCAGCCGGGCGCGGCGGCTCACGCCTGTAATCCCAGCACTTTGGGAGGCCGAGGCGGGCGGATCACGAGGTCAGGAGATCGAGAACATCCTGGCCAACACGGTGAAACCCCGTCTTTACTAAAAATACAAAAATTAGCCGGTTGTGGTGGCGGGCGCTGTAGTCCCAGCTACTCGGGAGGCTGAGGCAGGAGAATGGCGTGAACCCGGGAGGTGGAGCTTGCAGTGAGCCGAGATCGCGCCACTGCACTCCAGCCTGGGCGACAGAGCGAGACTCCGTCTCAAAAAAAAAAAAAAAAGAAAGAAGTGTCTTGTCCATAAGATAATCATTGAATTAATCATCACAAGTTTACCCGAAGGAGCAAAAACCCACAGCTGCCATCACCAGCCCCACACTAAGTTTGACACTTTAAGGGATTAAAAACAAATTCCAGCACTTTCCTTTGTCCCACAAGCAACATTTTAATGATATCTACATAAGCCATTGGGTTGGACATGGAGATATCATCTAAAAATCTGAGTGCTAGGCCAGGCGTGGTGGCTCACGCCTGTAATCCTAGCACTTTGGGAGGCCGAGGAAGGCGGAACACAAGGTCAGGAGTTCGAGAGCAGCCTGGCCAACATAGTGAAACCCTGTCTCTACTAAAAATTAGAAAATTAAAAAATTAAATTAGCTGGGTGTGGCAGTGTGAGCCTGTAATCCCAGCTACTGGGGAGGCTGAGGCAGGAGAATCGAGTGAATCCAGGAGGCAGAGGTTTCAGTGAGCCAAGACTGTGCCATTGCACTCCAGCCCGGGTGACAGTACGAGACCCCATATCGAGAGAAAAAAAAAATCTGAGTGATATACGGCAATCAGCCATTCAGTTATTCTGATTGCCTAAATATGAGATGTTCTAACAGACACTGCATGCGAAATCTCTTTTGCTGGCCAGGTGCAGTGGATCACGCCTGTAATCCCAGCACTTTGGTAGGCCAAGGCGGGTGGATCACTTGAGGTCAGGAGTTCGAGACCAGCCTGGCCAACATGGCAAAACCCCGTCTCTACTAAAAATACAAAAATTAGCCAGGCATGGTGGTGGGCACCTGTAATCCCAGCTACTCAGGAGGCTGAGGCAGGAGAATCGCTTAGAACCTGGGGGTGGAGGTTGCAGTGAGCCAAGATTGCGCCACTGCACTCCAGCCTGGGCAATAGAGCAAGATTCCGTCTCAAAAAAAAAAAAAAAAAAAAAAAAACAGAAATTCTTATATAGAAAGCAGCTCATAAACAGTTTAGAAGACTTAAACTGTGCTTGCTTTGACAACACATATACTAAAATTGGGACGATGCAGATTAGTTTAACGTGGTTCCCGTGCAAGGATGACACGAAAATTAATGAAGAGTTCCAATTTTATTTTTAAAAATGGAACTGTGATAGCCAGTCATAACGATCCCTTCTCATGTATGTGCATCAGGGGTTTCCTCAGTAATCGTTTGTTTTCATCACTGGAAGTAAAATCTCTGTGCAGAGACTGTGTTGCATGAATTATGCATTGCACGAATTAATTCATTCATCAAGTCATTCTTGAGCTTCTACCATGTTCCAAGCTCTGTGTGAGGCTCAGAATATACAGAGCAGAGTAAGAGTTAGTCCCTGCCTGCAAGGACCTCACAGCGGTGGAGTAAGAAGTGAGTCACACTCCAGTGGGAAGTGGGCAAAGATTTCCTAAGCAGACACAAAAATATTGACCATAAAAGAAGATGCATAAATGGAGCTTAATTAAAATCAGTACTTTCTCTTCAAGTAAGCCCAGGCGGGGTGGCTCACGCCTGTAATCCCAGCACTTTGGGAAGCCGAGGAGGGTGGATCACGAGGTCAGGAAATTGAGACCATCCTGGCCAACATGGTGAAACCCTGTCTCTACTAAAAATACGAAAATTAGCTGAGCGTGGCAGCCCATGCCTGTAATCCCAGCTATTCGGCAGGCTAAGGCAGGAGAATCTCTTGAACCCGGGAGATGGCGGTTGCAGTGAGCCAAGATCGTCGTGGCACTGCACTCTAGCCTGGCAACAGAGCTAGACTCTGTCTCAAAAAATAAAATAAAATAAAATAAAATAAAATAAAATAAAATAAAATAAAATAAAATAAAATAAAATAAAATAAAATAAGACATAATAAAGAGAGTAAAAAGTCAAACCACAAACTGGGGGAAAACATTCACAATAAATTTACCTGATAAAGGTCTCATACCTGGAATTATAATGAACCAGAAAACAGAAAAAAAGATAACCCATAACAAATGGGCAAAAACCATGGACGGGAACTTCTCAAAGAGGATCTTCAAATGGCTAATACGTATATGAAAAGGTGCTTACTCATCAAGGAGATGCAAATTCAAACACAAGGAGATTACACTAAACACCCACCACAATGCCTAAAATTAAAAATGTTTGTGAGAATGTGTAGAAACTGGAACTGTCACACACTGCTGGTGGGTGTGTAAATTAGGACTACTTTGGGAATCTGTTTGGCAATATCTGCCAAAATTAAATATTCACCTGCCCTATGATAGCAATCCTACTCCTAAGAATATTCCCTGGAAAAATTAGTGCATAGTTCCTTCAAAAGACATGCAGAAGAATATTCATAGCAGCATTATTTATAACAGGCAAAAGTTGAAAATATAAATGTCCATTAAGAGTAGAAAAAGTTGTAATATCCAATGTAATAATACTCAGCAATAAAAGAAAAATAAATTACATGATGGATGAATCTTACATATAGAATATTGAGTGAAGAAAGCCACACACAAAAGCCATACTGGGCTGGGCGCGGTGGCGCACGCTTGTAATCCAGCACTTTGGGAGGCCGAGGCAGGAGGATCACTTGAGCCTAGGAGTTCGAGACCAGACTGGGCTACATGGTGAGACCCCATCTGTACACGAAATTAAAAAATCAGCTGGCGTGGTGGCGCTTGCCTGTGGTCCCAGCTACTCAGGAGGCTGAAGTGTGAGGATCACTTGAGCCTATGAAGGCAAAAGGCTGCAGTGAGTCATGATTGTGCCACTGCACTCCCGCCTGGATGACACAGCAAAACCGCCTTTTTTTTTTTTTTTTTTAAAGAAAACTGTTTGATTCCATTTATGTGAAATTCAAGAACAACTAAAACCTAATCAATTATTATAAGAGCCAAAATGAAAGTTAACACTGGGGACAAGGGATACGAATGACAGGCGACACAATGAAACCTCTGGGGATTTGGAATGTCCTGTATCTTGATTTCTGTGCTGGTTCACCAGGGTATACATGTAAAAATTCATCAGACTTTAACATTAAGATTTGTGCACTTTAGGCTGGGCGTGCTGGCTCACACCTGTAATCCCAGCACTTTGGGAGGCGGAGGCGGGTGGATCGCCTGAGGTCGGGAGTTTGAGACCAGCCTGACCAACATGGAGAAACCGTGTTTCTACTAAAAATACAAAATTAGCCAGGCGTGGTGGCACGTGCCTGTAATCCCAGCTACTTGGGAGGCTGAGGCAGGAGAATTGCTTGAAGCCAGGAGGCAGAGGTTGCAGTGAGCTGAGATTGTGCCACTGCACTCCAGCCTGGGAACAAGAGTGAAACTCCGTCTCAAAAAAAAAAAAAAGAAAAGAAAAGATTTGTGCACTTTACTGTATATAATATCTAGATGTTTAAAATGCAATGGGAGCATAGAGAAAGAAGTACCTAACTCGGAGTAAAGAAATCCTGGCAGACTTCACTGGGAATGTTTGAACTGAATCTTGAATAGGAGCTTGTCCATAGAGGGTCACGGATCTCCCACACAGAGAGCACCACAAAATCCTCAGCAATTTGGTGAGAGTATGGTACAAGATGATAGTGGCCTGGGGCTTGAACAAGAGGCTGAGTGCGGTGGCTCACACCTGTAATCTCAGCACTTTGGGAGGCTGAGGCGAACACCTGAGGTCAGCAGTTCGAGACCAGCCTGGCCAAAATGGCAAAACCCCGTCTCTATTAAAAATACAAACATTAGCCGGGCATGGTGGCAGGTGCCTGTAATCCCAGCTACTCAGGAGGCTGAGGTGGGAGGATTGCTTGAGTGTGGGAGGCGGAGGTTGCAGTGAGCCGAGATCATGCCACTGCACTCCAGCCTGGGTGACAGAGTGAGACCCTGTCTCAAAAAAAAAAAAAAAAAAAAGTTAGACGTCTAGTACAGGAACCATGCAACACATCGAGTCAGCCAAGGGCAAGGTAAGGAGAGTGATGAGGAAAAAGGGGTGGCTGCCCTGCTCGGTGCTGTTCTGTCAAAGAGCCGAAATTCTTCGCGGGGTGGCAGATGAGGACAGGAACAGCTGGGGTGTGGCAAGTGTTGCTGCCTGGGGAGAGCGGAGGGTGAGGTGTTTCTCACGGGTGCATCCAGTGACTCATCAGGACAGCGGAGCTCATGAGGCCATGTCTCCCGTTTCCTGCCTTAGAATCACATGAAAATGAGCAGAGGGTGGGTCATCAGGACAGGGCTCTCCGGGGAGCGGAAGCGCCTTCAATGCAGGCCTGTGGGCAGGGGCGTGGGGGCGCGCACACACACACGCCTGGGTGACCTCTACGTATATACAGAGCCTCCCTGGCCCTCCTGGAAAGAGTCCTGGAAAGACAACCTTCAGGTCCAGCCCTGGAGCTGGAGGAGTGGAGCCCCACTCTGAAGACGCAGCCTTTCTCCAGGTTCTGTCTCTCCCATTCTGATTCTTGACACCAGATGCAGGTAAGCAGAGATGAAAGGGTGAGGTGACGGCCAGGGAACAGCCTAGCCTCACAGATGAGAGTGCACGCTTCCACTCCAGTGAGCCTGGCTCTGCAGCTTGGCGTCTGTGTGACTTTGCGCCATTCACTTACCTTCTCCTGTTGCCTCAGTCTGTCAACTTCTGGCCTTTGCACCTAGAATACTCTTCCTGCCTAGTATCTCATCGTCCATCAAGTTTGGGCATGGGCAGCCCTTCCTCCGGGAAGCTTCGTTTTGCTTCTGCCAGATAGGATTAGGTTCCTCCATGTGCTTCCATGACACCTTAAGTTGGATGCCCCTGCCTGGTACTTACTGTTACCAGCTGTGAATCCAGCGAGTCTGCAGCAAACTCAATCCTTGCCTTCTCGGGGGAGAGATTCGGCTGAGGGGCAGAAGTGGGTTTAAGGCAGAGGGAGAGGCTGAAGCAAGTTTGAGAGCAGGAGTGAAGGTTTATTAAAAAGTTTTTGAGCAGCAATGAAAGGAAGTAAAGTACACTTGGAAAAGGGCCAAGTGCGTGACTTGAGACACCCAAATGTGCTGTTAGACCCTTGACTTGGCGCCTGCCTGCCGCACAGGCACTTGGGAGGGGCCGCATGCGCAGTGTGTTTACTGAAGTCGTGCGCATGCTCACTTGAGGCGTTTTTCCCTTACCCGCGGAGCAGCACTAGAGGAAGGTCACACACACCAGCTAAACTCCACCATTTTGCTTCTTAGTGTAGATGCTTGAGCCCACTCGCCCAATTCCTGAGCTCTTACCAGGAAGCTGCTGATCACCAAGTTCAGGTATTTTCTATCTATTGGGAGACTGTCTTTCCCAACGCTGGCTGTGACCAATATTATTTTAGAAAGACAGTGTAACAACCGCCTGGCCATCACCTGATAGTCACCTGACATTACTGGGGTAGAGGCCCTCTCCCGCCCTGCTCATGTCTGCTCTATTTCTTACCACACTTGATTAGAATTACTTTTTGGCCAGCCTGACCCACATGGCGAAAACCCATCACTACTAAAAATACAAAATTAGCCGGGCGTGGTGCATGCCTGTAATTCCAGCTACTTGGGAGGCTGAGGCAGGAGAATAACTTGAACCCGAGAGGCGGAGGTTGCAGTGAGCCAAGAGCATGCCGCTGCACTCCAGCCTGGGCAACAAGAGCGAGACTGTGTCTCAAAAAAAAAAAAAAAAAAAAAAAAAAAGAATTGCTTTTTGCGTCAGCAGTGTCCCCACTAGACTTTAAGCTCCTCAAGGAAAGGGATTACATCTTTTTCATCGTTATATCCCTAGCCCCCCAAGTGTCTGTCAGGTAGTGATCACTTAATAAATATCCGACTGAAGGAAGAATGAAAGAAAAGCCTTGCTGGGTGGCGAGGGAGAGACACAGATGTAGAGAATGTGCGGTCTCTTCCTCCATGGAATTGAGCCGATCACTTCTGTTGTTGCCTGGACATCTAGCCGATGACGTGCTCACCTAGCTAGGACCTCAGGACAGAACAAGGAACTCCCCAGCAGCCTGGTTTTAAGGTTTTACCTTCTGATCTTGCTTGTCTCTTCAGATATCAAATTAGGCCACCTCTTTGCTAACCTCCTGGTTCACATTTTTGGAAGGGTTTCTCCAAATGTTATAATTTCTAGGGGAATAAAGTCAGGAGGAGGGGTGAAATTCACACGAAGCCGCAGTGCGGCAAGTGCTTTTAGTGTTTGATTGGCGGACAGCCAGGGCTCTGAATTCCACTCATCCAAAAGCCATGCTCCAGCTGGTAGTTTTCCCTCGCTGTCCATCATTTTTAGTTTCCCCTTTAAGAGTTTTCTGGGCTGGGCGCTGTGGCTCACACCTGTAATCCCAGCACTTTAGGAGGCCAAGGTAGGTGAATCACCTGAGGTCAGGAGTTCAAGACCAGCGTGGCTAACCTGGAGAAACCCCATCTCTACTAAAAATACAAAATTAGCCGGGCGTAGTGGTGTGCACCTGTAATCCCAGCTACTCAGGAGTCTGAGGCAGGAGAATCACTTGAACCCAGGAGGCGGAGGTAGCAGTGAGCTGAGGCCGCGCCATTGCACTCCAGCCTGGGCAACAAGAGTGAAACTCTGTCTCAAAAAAAAAACAAAAAACAAAACAAAAACAAAAACAAAAAAAACAGACTTTTCTGATGGGAACGTTTTCTGTAGAAGAGATCGTCAGGGGGGTTGATGTTGCTGAAGTGTGTAGACGGTGCTTTCTCAGAGGTGCCGTGATTTGAAGGCACTAAATGCATTCCTGCACAACGGCGTCTCCTGGCCCCATGATCTAGAGCACCCGCTTGAAAGGCCAACCACACACCCATCTTTCCTTGGGCCCCGGTCAGACATCTGGGTGGGCAGTGGATTAAAGTTGTGAGTTGTTAACACCCTGGGTGGTTAATTTGCCTCAACACAGAATTACACACTGCAAGCCCCGCACTGCACGATGGGACCGTCTCGGAGGGAGGATGTGCAGACATGCGGGGACATCGCAGCAGTGTGGGCAGGCTGTGAGGGGGCCGTTCTCCACAGGCGCCCTGCTCCCAGGAGCAGGACAGGTTCCTTGCTGTGACTGAGGAGTCCGGTGGCCTGTCAGCCAGAGGGTTGATGGGGGAAGAGACACCCCATCCCTCCCGATTCCTGACCCCACCCTGCCCCAGGACCCTTGGGCCCCTGGGGTAGGAGTCACTGTTGCTTCATATCCTACGCCCACCCTCTCAGGGCACCCCACCTCTCTCCTACCCCCACCCTCCCAGGGCACCCCTCCCCTCTCCTACCCCCACCCTCCCAGGGCACCCCTCCCCTCTCCTACCCACACCCTCCCAGGGCACCCCTCCCCTCTCCTACCCACACCCTCCCAGTGCACCCCTCCCCTCTCCTACCCCCACCCTCCCAGTGCACCCCTCCTCTTTCCTACAACCCCTCCCCAAGCACCCCTGCCCTCTCCTGCCCCCACCCTCCCCATGCACCCCTCCCCTCTGCTACCTCCACCCTCCCCGTGCATCCCTCCCCTCTCCTACCCCCACTCTCCCTGTGCACTCCTCCCCTGTCCTCTGGCCACCCTCCCAGGGCACCTCTCCCCTCTCCTACCCCCACCCTCCCAGAGCACCCCTCCCCTCTCCAACCCCCACCTTCTCAGGGCATCCCTTCCCTCTCCTACCCCCACCCTCCCAGTGCACCCCTCCCTTCTCCTAACCCCCACCTTCTCAGGGCATCCCTTCCCTCTCCTACACCCACCCTCCCAGTGCACCCCTCCCTTCTCCTAACCCCCACCTTCTCAGGGCACCCTTCCCTCTCCTACACCCACCCTCCCAGTGCACCCCTCCCTTCTCCTAACCCCCACCTTCTCAGGGCACCCTTCCCTCTCCTACACCCACCCTCCCAGTGCACCCCTCCCTTCTCCTAACCCCCACCTTCTCAGGGCACCCTTCCTCTCTCCTACCCCCACCCTCCCAGGGCACCCCTCCCCTTGTCTTCTTTACCATAAGCTACAGTCTGGCCGGGTTTGGTGGCTCACACCTGTAATTCCAGCACTTTGGGAAACCGAGGCAGGAGGATCACTTGAGACCAGGAGTTCAAGACCAGCCTGGCCAACATGGTGAAACCCTGTCTTTACTAAAAATACAAAAATTAGCCGGGCATGGTGGTGTGCAGCTGTAGTCCCAGCTACTGGGGAGTCTGAGGCAGAACAATCGCTTGAACCGGGGAGGCGGAGGTTGCAGTGAGCTGAGATCGCGCCACTGCACTCCAGCCTGAGCGACAGAGTGAGACTCTGTCTCAAGAAAAAAAAAAATTATTTATCCTGGACCGGGTCTGTTTCTGAGCTCCAGCCTGGGAGACAGAGCAAGACTCCATCTCAAAAAAAAAAAGAAAAAGAAAAGAAAAGCTACAGTCTTGAAAAATGGAAAACACCCGACTAAACAAGTTTCTAAAACAATTCTGAGTTCCTAAGTCGTAAAACTGTTTTTAAAAGGATATGTTGAAGATGAAATATAGGATAGTAGTTCCTAGGAAGGAATCCAGAAAGAAGGCAGGATTGGAGAGGGCACACCTGAGTGTCAGTGATGTGATGGGTAATGACGTATGTTTGATATTGGTTGTGTTTACATGGGTGTTAATTATCTCACACAAGTTACAAATATATTTTACACATTATGTTTAATTCTTTTTTAATGCAATTTTTTTTTTTTGAGACGGAGTCTCGATCTGTGGTCCAGGCTGGAGTGCAGTGGTGCGATCTTGGCTCACTGCAACCTCTGCCTCCCAGGTTCAAGTGATTCTTCTGCCTCAGCCTCCTGAGTAGCTGGGATTACAGGCGCACACCACCATTCCCAGCTAAGTTTTGTATTTTTAGTAGAGATGAGGTTTCGCCAGGTTGGCCAGGCTGTCTTGAACTCCTGACCTCAAGTGATCCACCCGCCTCGGCCTCCCACAGTGCTGGGATTATAGGCGTGAACTACTGCACCTGGCCTTTAATGCAAATTTTAAAAATATAATTTCAACTTTTATTTTAGATCCGGGGATACATATACAGGCTTGTTCCGTGTCTATTGTGTGATGTTGAGGTTAGGGTATGAGTGATTCCCGTCACTCAGGTAGTGAGCGCGGTACCTACAGATAGTTTTTCAGCCCTGGCCCTCCCCCAATGTTTAATTCTTCATGCTGTGAAATATTTCATTATTTATGTGTGATGTAAAGTAATCCCCCCTTAACTGAAGCTTTGCTTTCCAAAGTTTTAGCTATCTGTGGTCAACTGCAGTTCAAAAAACTTACATAAAATATTTTCAATGAGAAAGACCACATTCACATAACTTTCATTACAGTATGTTGTTATAACTGTTCTATTTTATTATTATTGTTGCGAACTTCTTACTATGCCTGATTTATAAATTAAACTTTATTACAGATATGTATGTATAGGAAAAAGCATAGTACAGACAGTCCTCTACTTATAGTGGTTTGACTTCTAAGTTTCCAACTTTACGACAGGTTTCTAGGGACCTAACTCCATCATCAGTGAACTCCTTACCCTTTATGATGGGATTACGGTTTCTACTGAATACTCATTGCTTTTGCACCATCACAAAGTCAAAAGTAAATTGGGACTGGGCGTGGTGGCTTACGCCTGTAATCCCAACATTTTGGGAGGTGGAGGTGAGAGGATCACTTGAGGCCAGGAGTTTGAGATCAGCTTGGGCAACATAGTGAGACCCTGTCTCTATAGAACTAAAACATTAGCCAGGTATGGTGGCGCATGCCTGCGGTCTCAGCTATCCGAGAGACTGAGGTGGGAGGATCACTTGAGCCCAGATCAGGGCTGCAGTGAACAATGATTGTGCTACTGCACTCCAGCCTGGGTGACAGAGCAAGACCCTGTCTCAAAAAAAAAAAAAAAAAAAAAATTGTAAGTTGAACCATTGTGAGTCAGGGACAGTCTACTGTGTTGCCAGCATTAAATGCCTTTTGAACTTAGGATATTTTGACTTACAACGGGTTTATAGGAGTTCGACCCCATCATAAGTGGAGAAGCATCTGAATATACAGAGTTTGGTATGATCTGTGGTTTCAGGTATCCGCTGGAGCTCTTGGAACATATCCCCTGCAGATATGGGGGACTATTGTGTGTGTGTGTGTGTGTACGTACACACATATATACGCACATTATACATTATATGTATATGATATATATGTGTGTGTGCATATATATAGAGCCTCTGATCCATATCTTTTATATATATATATATTTTTTTTCTTCCCTTCCCCTTCCCCTTCCTCTTTCCTTCCTTCCTTTCCTTTCTTCCTTCCTCCCTCCCTCCCTCCCTCTCTCCCTCCTCTCTCTCTCTCTCTTTTGCTCTGTCACCCAGGCTGGAGTGCAGTGGCGTGATCTGGGCTCACTGCCACCTCTGCCTCTCGGGCTCAAGCGATTCTCCTGCCTCAAGCTCCTGAGTAGCTTGGATTACAGGCGCACACCACCACGCAGTTAATTTTTTTTTTTTGAGACCGAATCTCACTCTCTTGCCCAGGCTGGAGTGCACTGGCGTGATCTCAGCCCCCCAGGTTCACGCCATTCTACTGCCTCAGCCTCCCGAGTAGCTGGGACCACAGGCACCCGCCACCATGCCCAGCTAATTTTTTTGTATTTTTAGTAGAGACGGGGTTTCACCATGTTGGCCAGGTTGGTCGGAAACTCCTGACCTCGTGATCCACCCACCTCAGCCTCCCAAAGTGCTGGGGTTACAGGCGTGAGCCACCGTGCCTGGCCTCTATACACATATTTTCTGATTAGGTGCAAAGCAGTGTGTTATAGGCGTGTCAAGAGCCTCAAGTGGCCAAGTGCAGTGGCTCACGCCTGTCATCCTAGCACTTTAGGTGTCTGAAGTGGGAGGGCCCTTGAGCCAAGGAGTTTGAGACCAGCCTGGGCCACATAAGGAGACCTCACCTCTATTACATTTTTTTTTCTTCTGAGACGGAGTTTCACTCTTGTTGTCCAGGCTGGAGTGCAGTGGCGTAATCTCGGCTCACTGCAACCTCCACCTCCCGGGTTCAAGTGATTCTCCTGCCTCAGCCTTCCGAGTAGCTGGGATTACAGGCATGCGCCACCACGCCCGGCTAGTTTTGTATTTTTAGTAGAGATGGGGTTTCGTCATGATGGCCAGGCTGGTCTTGAACTCCTGACCTCAGGTGATCTGCCGGCTTTGGCCTCCCAAAGTGCTGGGATTACAGGCGTGAGCCACTGCACCCGGCTAAAAATAAATTTTTTTCAATAAAAAATAAATAAATAAATTAAATAAATAAATAAATAGCGAGCCTTAAGGGGAGACAGACGTGTAACTGAACTGCACAGTGGGAACAGGCCACTTCCTGGGGATGTCATGACGCTGACTTTTTTCAGATCCACATTGACATGAGTCTGCCCAAATATTACTAGTCCTATTTTAATTCATATATATATGTATATATATATATTTTTTTTTTAGATAGAGCTTCACTCTTGTTTCCTGGGCTGGAGTGCAATGGCACGATCTCTGCTCACTGCAACTTCTGCCTCCTGGGCTCAAGCGATTCTGCTGCCTCAGCCACCCGAGTAGCTGGGATTACAGGTGCCTGCCACCACGTCCAGCAATTTTTTTGTATTTTTTAATAGAGACACGGTTTCACCATGTTGACCAGGCTTATCTCAAACTCCTGACATCAGGCGATCCACCTGCCTTGGCCTCCCAAAGTGCTGGGATTACAGGTGTAAGTCACCGTGCCCGGCCTTAATTCATATTTTTCTAAAAAACAAGAAGTTCACATATCAATGAAAATATAAAAGAGAGGAACATAAGGAGTGGAAGAGGCATTTTATAATTTATCTAGATATGACATTTTAATTGTAATTAGCTTTATTGATATATAGTTAAAATTCAATAAAATTCACCTATTTTAAGTGCAAAGTTTAATGAGTTTTGTCAATATGTACAGTTATGTATTCACCACCAGAATCTAGACACAGAATGCTTCCACCCCTTCAGAAAGCTTCCCATGCCCCATACTAATCCTCTTTCCCATTCTCAGCCCATGGCAACCGCTCATCTGCTCTCCGTTAAAAGTTTTGCCTTTTCTAGAATTTCGTATATATAGAAACATGTGAGTAGTCTTTTGTTTCTGGCTTCTTCCACTTAACACAATGCTTTTGAGATTCATCCATGTTATATGTAGCAGAAATTTACGCATTTTATTACCTAATAGAACTCATTTGTATGGATAACACAATTTGTCTTGATTCACCTATTGATTACTGATAAGGATTTGAGTAATCACAAATTTTTTAATTGATTTTTTATTGTGGTAAAGTAACATCAGATTTGTCATTTTAACCATTTTAAAGTGTATAATTCAGTGACATTAATTACATTTGCAATGATGTGCAACCATTACCATTATCTATTTCCAAAACTTTTCTTCACCCCAAACAGAAAGTCTGTAACCCTTAAACCGTGGGCAGTGGCCCAGATCTGGTCATAGCTACTCTGGAGGCACGGGCTGGAGGATCATTTGAGTCCAGGAGTTGAAGACCAGCTGGGGTAACATAGTGAGACTGCATCTCTAAAAAAACCCCAAAACCACCGCGCGCGGTGGGAGGCCGAGGCGGGCAGATCACCTGAGGTCAGGAGTTCAAGACCAGCCTGGCCAACATAGTGAAACCCTGTCTCTACTAAAAATACAAAAATTAGCCAGGCGTGGTGGCACATGCCTGTAGTCCCAGCTACTTGGGAGGCTGAGGCAGGAGAATTGCTTGAGCCCAGGAGGCAGAGGTTGCAGTGAGCTGAGATTGCGCCACTGCACTCCAGCCTGGCTGACAGAGCAAGACTCTGTCTCAAAAAAAAAAAACAAAACAACACAAAACAAAACCTGAAAACCTCTGTAACCATTAAACAATAACTCCCCATTCTCTCCTCCCTCCCCACAGTCCCTGATAACCTCCAGTCTACTTTCTTTCTCTATAAAGTTGTTATTTTGAATATTTCATATAAGTGGAATCATACAATATTTGTCCTTTAGTGTCTGGCTTATTTCTTTTAGCATGATTTTTTTTTTTTAGATGGAGTCGCTTGCTCTTGTCGCCCAGGCTGAAGTGCAGTGGCGCGATCTCAGCTCACTGCAGCCTCTGCCTCCTGGGTTCAAGCGATTTTCCTGCCTCAACCTCCGAGTAGCTGGGATTATAGGCAAGCACCCAGCTGACATTTAAATTTTTAAGCAGTCTGATTAATCATGTTTTGTGGATTGTACTTTTTGCATTTTAGTAAGAAACCTTTATCTAACCCAAGGTCCCAGTGTTTTTCTCCTTTGTTTTATTCTAGAAATTTTATAAAGCTTTTAGACCCATGCTCCATTTCAAGTGAATTTTTGAATATGTTGTGAAGTAATAGTGAAGGCAGTTTTGTTTTGCATGTGCATTGTTCCGGCACCATTTGTGGAAGAGACTTTTTCCCGCTGAATTGTCATCTTCTTAAAAAATCATTTATTGGCCGGGCGCGGTGGCTCATGCCTGTAATCCCAGCACTTTGGGAGCCCGAGACAGGCGGATCACGAGGTCAGGAGATCAAGACCGTCCTGGCTAACACGGTGAAACCCCGTCTCTACTAAAAATACAAAAAATTACCGGGCATGGTGGCGGGCACCTGTAATCCCAGCTACTTGGGAGGCTGAGGCAGGAGAATCGCTTGAACCTGGGAGGCAGAGGTTGCAGTGAGCTGAGATCGCGCCACTGCACTCCAGCCTGAGCAACAGAGCGAGACTCCGTCTCAAGAAAAAAAAAAAATCATTTTTCCTGGACCGGGTCTGTTTCTGAGCTCCAGCCTGTTCCAGTAGTCCATATGTGTTTCCTTACGCGTGGCTTCAGTGTCTTCAATTACTGTAGCTTTGTAAGTCTTGAAATCACATGGCGTAAGTTCTCCAGCTTTGTTTGTTTTTCAGAATTGCTTTGGCTAATCTTCACAATTGCTTTGCATTTCCATATAAATTTAGATTCAGTTTGTCAATTTCTATAACAAAACTCTCCTAGGATTTTGACTGATATTGCTTTAAATCTTTGCATCAATTTAGGGAGAACATGTTAACTATTTTGAGTCTTCTGGTTCAGGAACATGGTATATGTCTCCATTTATTTAGGTCTCCATTAATTTTCTCAGCAATGCTTTGCAATTCTTACTATATAGGTCTTGCAAATATTTTGTTAAATTCATCCATATGTATTATATTTTTATGCTATTGTAAATGATATATTTTAATTTCAATCCTCAATTTGTCATTGCTTGTATATAGAAATACAATATAATTTTTGTATATTAATCTTTTATTCTATGACGTTGCTAAACTCACCTGTTAATTCTAATAAACTTTAGGATTTTCTACATAATGTGATCACATTATCTGTGAATAATAACAATGTTACTTTTTTTTTTTTTTAAGATGGAGTCTTGCTGTGTCACCCAGGCTGGAGTGCAGTGGCATGATCTCAGCTCACTGCAACCTCTGCCTCCCGGGTTCAAGCAATTCTCCTGCCTCAGTCTCCCCAGTAGCTGGGATTACAGGCACCCACCACCGTGCCCAGCTAATTTTTGTATTTTTAGTAGAGACGGGGTTTCACCATGTTGGCCAGGCTGGTCTTGAACTCCTGACCTCGTGATCCGCCTGCCTCAGCCTCCCAAAGTGCTGGGATTACAGGCCTGAGCCACCATGCCTGGCCGACAATATTACTTCTTTCTTTCCTATCTGTGTGGCTTTTGCTTCCTTTTATTTTCGTATTGCACTGGCCAGGACCAGTACAACGTTGAATAGAAGTGGAGACAATGGACATCATGAAGACACCTTTAAACATTTCTTTTTGTCAGAAATAATCACTGGCTGTAATAGAGGCATAAACAAAATATGATGGAATGCAAACTATGTATGTGTGAACAGGGGTTAGCAGAAAAGGAAACAATTAAATCCTAGTCACTGGGGAAGATTCCTAAGGAGCAGAGTTTTTAAGCAGGTTGCTTGGCTCTCATTGGTCTGACCCTGGAAGGTGGCGGTTTCTGTAGTCTGTTTCCCTCACCCATGATATGCTGCTGGAGTTCCCTTCCCCATCCCCCCACAGCAGAGCTGCTGCGACTCCCTTTCTATCTGTTCCAGGATGGTGTCCTCTCCCTGCACGCAGGCAAGCTCACGGACTTGCTCCCGTATCCTGGGACTGAGCCTTGGGACTGCAGCCCTGTTTGCTGCTGGGGCCAACGTGGCACTCCTCCTTCCTAACTGGGATGTCACCTACCTGTTGAGGGGCCTCCTTGGCAGGCATGCCATGCTGGGAACTGGGCTCTGGGGAGGAGGCCTCATGGTAAGTGTCCGGGGTTCCCTGAACGTGAACTCTCAAAGAGACCCCGGCGGGGAGCAGGAAGGTGGCATGGGAAGAGTGTTTTGATTCCTTGCAGAAAAGTTTATTCTAACAAGCTGATCTTGGGTCTGTAGAAGCTCTAAGAGACAGGAAGCCTAGCTTGGGACCAGGCAGGTCGGGTGTGAAAGTTAACATCCACAGCGTTAGATCAGGCTCGTCATACAAATGTGGGTCCCCAGAGTCAGAGTCAACAGGACTGCGTTCATGTGAGCTGCCAGCCACTCTAACAGCTGTGGGCAGCACCTAGAAACAGCCGGCAAAGTCGATTTCCCCATCTCAACATTCTTCTCTCTCCTGCAGGTACTCACTGCAGCTATCCTCATCTCCTTGATGGGCTGGAGATACGGCTGCTTCAGTAAGAGTGGGCTCTGTCGAAGCGTAAGCACCAGATTCCACTCTTCTAACACCCAGAATGTCTCCACCTCTATTACTCTAGAGGCAGGGCGGTAAAGAGGCAATTTTGGTCTTGGGGCCTGAAGTCAGGTCCTCACTGTGACCCTCAGTAACGCTAAGTTCTTGGGCAAGTTGCTTCATCTTTCCAGTTTCAGGCTTTCATCTGTAAAATGGGAGCTGATCAAGTCAAGGGAGTAGTGCTTAGTGAAGCCCAGACGTCTGTACCAGTGTGAGGACCCAGACGTCTGTACCAGTGTGAGAAACTGTTACTCTCTTAGGGTGTTGGACAATATGGACATGAGTTATGACACTGTAATCATGTGTCATTGATGGAAATTTTCCTAGTTATTTTAACTAATATTTTCTTAGAACAGGAAAGTTTTCCAGAGATCATCTAATCACTAGATTCTAATCTAACCCCTCCATTTTACAGATAAACTGAGGCCCAGAATAAATTTCTACCTTATTAATTACAGCAGCAACTGTATAAACTTGAAAGATCTCAGTATATGTGTGTGTAACAAACACACACACACACACACACACACACTCGTTCTCAGACATGAATCTGTGGCCTTATGGTAACTCCACAGCCTGCTCTGATATCTGCAGCCCACATGTTGGGAAGCCCACTGACTCAGTTACATGTTAAAAAATCAAATATAGGCCAGGCGCGGTGGCTCACGCCTGTAATCCCAGCACTTTGGGAGGCCAAGATGGGCGGATCACCTGAGGTCAGGAGTTTGAGACCAGCCTGGCCAACATGGTGAAACCCCGTCTCTACCAAAAATACAAAAATTAGCTGGGCGTGGTGGTGGGCGCCTGTAATCCCAGCAACTCAGGAGGCTGAGGCAGGAAAATCTCTTGAACCCGGGAGGCGGAGCTTGCAGTGAGCCGAGATGGCGCCACTGCACTCCAGCCTGGGCGACAGAGCGAGACTCCGTTTCAAAATAAATAAATAAATAAGTACATAGATAAATAAATAAACACTTGCACATTTCATTCACTGTCTGTTCTCATTCTGGTTTTCCCCGTGGCACGTAGTTCTGACACTTGAATGTGCATGAGAATCACCTGGAGGGCTTTTGCCGGAACACGGATTGCTGGGCTCCCTCCCCAGAGTTTCTGATTCAGGATGGCGGGGAAGTTTTGCATTTCTAACAGGTTCTCAGGTGATGTGATGCGGCTGGGCAGGGACCCCATTTTGGGAACCACTGCCCTAGGCTTACTGATTCATCTTGACTCCTTTAACTCAGAGTCAAAACTTACTATGCACCTTTGTCTGATCCCTCCCCAACTCCAAACCAGCTTGACCTCAGTGGGAGAATGACTCCATGACTCTGCAGAAAAACGCTATGTAGGTGTTATTCACATTTTTAAAATAGGCATTTTTGGGGGAGGGAGAAAAAAATCTAGAACCCTAAGAAAGAATCCAATATGGGCCGGGCACGGTGGCTCATGCCTGTAATCCCAGCACTTTGGGAGGCTGAAGCAGGTGGATCACAAGGTCAGGAGATTGAGACCGGCATGACCAACACAGTGAAACCCCATTTCTACTAAAAATACAAAAATTAGCTGGGTGTGGTGGCGCATGCTTGTAGTCCCAGCTACTTGGGAGGCTGAGGCAGGAGAATCGCTTGAACTCAGAGGCAGAGGTTGCAGTGAGCTGAGATCGTGCCACTGCACTCCAGCCTGGGCGACAGAGTGAGACTCTGTCTCAAAAAGAAAGAGAGAGAGAGAAAGAAGGAAGGAAGGGAAGGAAGGAAGGAACGAGAAAGAAGCCAATGTAGAAGCAGGCTAGAAACCTGTCAAGGAAGGAAACCCAGTTATTTTCTGGGAGGGCAGTGGGAGCACAGACTGATGGCCAAGAAAGCTCTCAGCTGGAGAAACACAGCGACAGAAGTGGAGTCATTTCAGAGCTTGGCTGCAGCTTCTCTCTCGCTGTTTCTCTCCCTTCTTTCCCTCCCTCCCACTTCTCTCCTTCCCTTCTTTCCTGCTTCTTTCTTTCCTTCCTTCCCTCCCTTCCTTTTTTTTATCCTTGATTTGAAATAGAGAAGAATCAGAGTTGGGAACCTGGAACTTTTGAAAATGCAGCTTTTCCTTAGAAGAGTCAGTGGTGGGCCTGTGGTAGCTTCTTCTTTAGCTCAGAGGCTGAATGGCTGTAATGTGCAAAAGGTTTGTGATGCCAAGCTGCTGAGCAGCTCAGGCGAACTCACGGTCAGGGAGATCCGGGGCCTGCGATTCTGCTTCTTGGTCCTTTCTCTCCTAGAAACCCCTCACGGCCTCCCCACCATGGGTTATGCTTCAAAGGGGGTGCCATGGACAGAATTCTCCCCCATGACAGGACGGAAGAACACTGAGACCAGAGAAGTCAGACCTGTGCAGACCGCCCCACAGACTCCCCAGCTGCGACCCCGTCTTAGCTCAGCGTTTCTCCTCCCTCCGCAGGCTCCCCAGCTGCGACCCCGTCTTAGCTCAGTGTTTCTCCTCCCTCCGCAGGTGCTTACTGCTCTGTTGTCAGGTGGCCTGGCTTTACTTGGAGCCCTGATTTGCTTTGTCACTTCTGGAGTTGCTCTGAAAGATGGTCCTTTTTGCATGTTTGATGTTTCATCCTTCAATCAGACACAAGCTTGGAAATATGGTTACCCATTCAAAGACCTGCATAGTAGGTAAATGGGTGGAGGCTTGGGCTTGGTCTTTTCAGACAGAGAGAGAGAGAGAGACAAAAAGACACACAGACGAACTACAAGCTCCTTTGGGTCACACATCCTAGCATCTTGCTCCTCTGATACTCAGAAAATTGCAAATGGAGCAGTAACGGTCACCCTCATGAGCCCAGTCCCATGACCCGGTCAGGGGAGACCCCAGTTTTCTACTGGGGTTGCCTGTTTGGCTTTCCTTACTTATCGCCTGACCCCTGGTCTCCTTATTTTTTGGGATAGGAATTATCTGTATGACCGTTCGCTCTGGAACTCCGTCTGCCTGGAGCCCTCTGCAGCTGTTGTCTGGCACGTGTCCCTCTTCTCCGCCCTTCTGTGCATCAGCCTGCTCCAGCTTCTCCTGGTGGTCGTTCATGTCATCAACAGCCTCCTGGGCCTTTTCTGCAGCCTCTGCGAGAAGTGACAGGCAGAACCTTCACTTGCAAGCATGGGTGTTTTCATCATCGGCTGTCTTGAATCCTTTCTACAAGGAGTGGGTACGAATTATAAACAAACTTCCCCTTTAGGTATCCCTGGAGTAATAATGACAACAAAATTCACTGCAGGTCGGTGGAATGATAGAATGCATTTTAAATCACATTGTAAACTTCCAGGTGATCCATGGATAGGATAAATAACTAAGTTATTATAATTGTTTAGGAATTTATAGTCCATAAAATATCCTCCAGCCAGGGTCTCATTTCAGCTTCTTGACAATCCCATAAAGTTGGCCATTTGTTACACATAGAGAAGTTGAGGCTCACAGAGGGTAACAGGCTTGCTGTAAAAGCACACAGTGAAGTTAAGGTGAAGTCAGCACCTGACCCCCTATCTCCCTGTTGTTTTGTTGTTGCTGAGACAGGGTCTTGCTCTGTTCCCCTGTCTGGAGTACAGTGGCACAATCATAGCTTACTGTAACCTACAACCCATGCACTCAAGCGATCCTCCTGCCTTAGCCTCCGAGTAGCTGGGACTACAGGCACACACCACTACACCTGGCTAATTTTTAAATTTTCTGTAGAGAGGGAGTCTCGCTATATTGCCCAGTCTGGTCTTGAACTCCTGACCTCAAGTGATCCTCCCACCTTGGTCTCCCAAAGCGCTGGATTACAGGCATGAGTCACTGTGCCTGGCCCCAACCCCCATCTTCTAAATTCAACTTCTCCAGTTATTGTGGACTAAATAGTGTTTCCTCCAAATCTGTAGGTTGAAGCCCTAACCCCCAATATGACAGTCTTTGGTGGTGGCACTTTTTTTTTTTTTTTTTGAGACAGTCTCGCTCTGTCACCCAGGCTGGAGTGCAGTGGCGTGATCTCGGCTCACTGCAACCTCCACCTCCCAGGTTCAAGTGATTCTCCTGCCTCAGCCTCCTGAGTAGCTGGGATTACAGGCATGTGCCACCACACCCAGCTAATTTTTGTATTTTTAGTAGAGACGGGGGTTTCACCATGTTGGCCAGGCTGGTCTCGAACTCCTGGCTGCAAGTGATCCGCCCACCTTGGCCTCCAAAAGTGCTGGGATTACAGGTGTGAGCCACCGCGCCTGGCCATGATGGCACCTTTAAATTAGTAATTAAGGTTAAATGAGACTGGGCGCAATGGCTCACACCTGTAATCTGAGCACTTTGGGAGGCCAATGTGGGAAGATCACTTGTGACCAGGGGTTTGAGACTAACCTGGGCAACACAGTGAGACCTCGTCTCAAAAAAAAAAAACACAACAACAAATGATTAAATGAGGCCATAGGGTGGGACCCTAATTAAATAGGACTGGTGTGCTTATAAAAAGAGGAAGAAAGAACAGAGCTCTCTACACTGGCTCAAAGAAAAAGGCCCTGTAAGGACCCAGTGAGAAGGCGGCTGTCTGCAAGCGCAGGGGCGAGGCCTCAGGAGATACCAAACCTGCTGGCACCTGGATCTTGGACTTCTAGCCTCCAGCACTGTGAGAAAATCTATTTCAGTTGCTTAAGTGCCCAGTTCATGGTATTCTGCAACAGCAGCCTGGCAGACTAATACACCAGCATTCTCTTCACTAGTGTTCAAGAGTTCAACAAGTAGAGGAGCATCACCTCTGTCCACACAGTTTGGATATCTGTCCTCACCCAAATCTCATGTTGAATTGTGATCCCCAGTGCTAGAGGTGGGGCCTGGCAGAAGGTGTGTGGATCATGAGGCGGATCCCTCACGGCTCAGAGCTGTCTTTGTGATAGTGGGTTCCCGCGAGATCTGGTCATTTAGAAGCGTGTGGCACCTCTGGCCTCTCTCTCGCCTGCTCCTGCTCTCACTATGTGACTCGCCTGCTCCCTCTTCACCTGCTGCCATGAGTAAAAGCTCTCTGAGGCCTCCCCAGAAGCTGAGTGATGTGGGTGCTATGCTTCCTGTAACCCCTGCAGAACTGTGAGCCAATTAAATCTCTTTTTCTTTTTTATGGAGTCTCGCTCTGTTGCCCAGGCTGGAGTGCAGTGGCATGATCTCGGCTCACTGCACCCTCTGCCTCCCAAGTTCAAGCGATTCTCCTGCTTCAGCCTCCTGAGTGGCTGGGATTACAGGCACCCGCCACCACACCTGGCTATTTTTTTTGTACTTTTAGTAGAGATGGGTTTTCACCATATTGGCCAGGCTGGTCTTGAACTCCTGACCTTGTGACCCGCCCACCTCGGCCTCCCAAAGTGCTGGGATTACAGGCGTGAGCCACCCAACCCGACCTCACAGCTGCTTCTCACACGGCACCTAGAAGCAGGGGCCTCCTGCTCTCCCACTGCGGGGTTTTCAGTCAGGTCGGGCTGGGTGGTGAGGAGAGTCAGAGCGGAATGAGGAAGATGCTGGTGGGAGAGTGTGGTGTGACAGGCAGGAAGAGGACAAGGCAGGCAGAAGCAGCCTGGGAGGAACCTGGAAGATGGGCACTGGCAAGAAAAGTGGTGGGCGGTCCCCAGAAACGAGTTTGAGAACCCCAGGCTCTGGCCGGGCACGGTGGCTCACACCTGCAATCCCAGCACTTTGGGAGGCCACGGTGGGTGGATCACCAGAAGTCAGGAGTTTGAGACCAGCCTGGCCAACATAGTGAAACTTCAGCTCTACAAAAAATACAAAAATTATATGGGCGTGGTGGTGCATGTCGGTAATCCCAGCTATTCAGAGGCTGAAGCAGGAGAATTGCTTGAAACCAGGAGACAGAGGTTGCAGTGAGCCGAGATTGCACCACTGAACTCCAGCCTGGGGGACAGAGACTCTGTCTCACAAAAAAAAAAAAAAAAAAAAAAAAAGAGGCCGGGTGCAGTGGCTCACACCTGTAATCCCAGCACTTTAGGAGTCTGAGGCAGGCAGATCATGAGGTCAGAAGTTCACGACCAGCCTAGCCAACATGGTGAAACCCCGTCTCTATAAAAAATACAAAAATTAGCCAGGTGTGGTGGTGTGCACCTGTAATCCCAGCTACTCGGGAGGCTGAGGCAGGAGAATTGCTTGAACCCGAGAGGCGGAGGTTGCAGTGAGCCGAGATCATGCCACTGCACTCCAGGCTGGGGGTCAGAGCGAGATTCTGTCTCGGGAAAACAAAAAACAAAAAAAACCCTCCCGGAAACACAGCACCCCAGGCTCTGTTGGAAGGGAATGTGGGGCCCAGGTGCTGCTCTATCCCCTCCTCAGTCCCCTGGATCCCAGCTTGATTCCTCCACTATTCTGCCTCAGTGAGGAGTTGCTGAAGCACTGGGGGCTTCCAGAACACAGGGGTGCCTCCCTCTCCCAGGCTCAGAGGCACGGTTCTGTCATCCGACAGTCCAACCAGCAGAGCTCGTAGGAGGCAGGTCCCTTCAAACACCACCTCACCCTTTCCTCTCCAGGGCTGCTGGCCTAGCAGGCCTGCCAGGGTGGGGAAGGTGGACACAGAGGCCTGTGGGAGACACAAGGAGGCACAGCCTCTTGAGCAGGCAGGAAGTCTCCAAGTCCAGAGAGCACATCCTATTCCTGCATACAACATCCAGGAAGCTTGCCTGGGCTTGTCTCACATTTCCCTCTTGGCTGGTTAGTTTCAGGGTCATGGCTAGGATATGCCTGATATGGAGAAGCTTCTCTTGCTGGGGAAAGGTACTGACACCTCCACACAACTCACGCAGAATTTTTTTTTTTTTTTTTTTTTTTGATACAGAGTCTCATGCTGGAGTGCAGTGGTGTGATCTCGGCTCACTGCAAGCTCCGACTCCCTGGTTCAAGCAATTCTCCTGCCTCAGCCTCCCAAGTAGCTGGGATTACAGGCACATGCCACCACACCCAGCTAATTTTTGTATTTTTAGTAGAGACCGGGTTTCACAATGTTAGCCAGGATGGTCTTGATCTCCTAACCTCATGATCCGCCCGCCTCGGCCTCCCAAAGTGCTGGGATCACAGGTGCGAGTCACCGTGCCTGGCCAACTAATGAAAAGTTTAAAGAATTTATATCTAGTTTTGGATGTTAGGCATGCACACACAAGTGCATGCACACTCATACACATCATCTCCACAAGCCCCATCCTGGCTCAGCCCTATTCTGATGGGTCAGCAGGACCCCAAGGAGAGAAGGGTGGGTCCTTGGCACTAAGACAGTTCACAGTGGTTAGCTGACTCCTTCTTGCCTCCATTCTTTCAGGAACTGCATATAGTACAGAACATGACAGCGATTCGAAAAACAATATCCCAGCTGGCTGTGATGGCTCATGCCTGTAGTCCCAGCACTTCGGAAGGCTGAGGTGGGATAATCACTTGAGCCCAAGAGTTCAATAGTAGCCTGGGCAGCATAGCCAGATCCTATCTCTACAAAAATTAAAAAGATTAGCCACGCGCGGTGGCATTCGCCTGTAGTTCCAGGTACTCCAGAGGCTGAGGTGGGAGGACTGCTTGAGTCCAAGAGGTCGAGGCTGAAGTGAGCGGTGAGTGTGCCACTGCACTCCAGCCTGAGAAACAGAGCAAGACCCTGTCTCAAGTGGGAAAAAAAAAAAAAGGAATCCCTGCCCTTTCAGCCTCTCCTGTAAACAGGGATTACAGGCACGAGCTACCTCATCGGGCCTTAGTTTTTGAAGCTAGCAGAGGCCAAGATACAACAGCCTTCTAAAACAGGACCAGGGACTGGTGCTTATAAGCAGGGAATGCGGCAGAGTACGATGGCTCACGCCTGTCATCCCAGCACTTCGGGAGACCGAGGTGGGCGATCACCTGAGGTCAGGAGTTGGAGACCAGCCTGGCCAATATGGTGAAACCCCGTCTCTAATAAAAATACAAAAAAAATTAGCCGGTCGTGGTGGGGCGCGCCTGTAATCCCTGCTGCTTGGGAGGCTGAGGCAGAATTGCTTGAACCTGGGAGGTGGAGGTTGCAGTGAGCCGAGATCGCGCCTCTGCACTCCAGCCTGAGTGACAGAGCGAGACTTCGTTTAAAAAAATAAAAATAAATATATATTTTTAAAAGCGGGGAATGCAGCCTAAGTCTCTTTCCTTCCTTCCTTTTTTTTTTTTTTTCTTTTTTTGAGACGCAGTCTCGCTCTGTCGCCAGGCTGGAGTGCAGTGGCGCGATCTCGGCTCACTGCAACCTCGGCCTCCTGGGTTCAATAGATTATTCTGCCTCAGCCTCCAGAGCAGCTGGGGTTACAGGCACGCGCCACCACGCCCGGCTAATTTTTGTATTTTCAGTAGAGATGGGGTTTCACCATGTCGGCCAGGATGGTCTTGAACTCTTCCTGACTCAGGTGATCCGCCCGCCTCGGCCTCCCAAAGTGCTGGGATTGCAGGCCTGAGCCCCCGCACCCGGCCGCCGCAATTACTTCTGCACCAGCCTAATACCTCAAGTCCAGGAGCCTCAGGCCCCGCGTCTATTTCCTCCGACTGCGGCGCGGCTGATACTGCCTGAGGCGGGTGGAAGCTGTCGCGCGTCCGGACGCGACCAGTTCCCGCCCAGCAGCCGGTGCGCAGGCGCGGGCAGGGAGGGCGGCTGTGCGGGGCGCTCGCGGGCTTCAGCGAGGCGGGAGGGCGGCCCTGTTGCCCTGGAGACGCTTTCCCTGCTGCCGGCCGCGACCGCAACCCGCTAGGCCTTCATCGCGAGCTACGCCCGGACCGAGAAGCCCCGGCATGGCCACGTCCATCGGAGTGTCCTTCTCGGTGGGCGACGGGGTGCCTGAGGCTGAGAAGAACGCAGGGGAGCCCGAGAACACCTATATTCTGCGGCCTGTTTTCCAGCAGAGGCGGGTAGAGGACGGGCTGTGGCGGGGCGACCTCGAGCGCGCTGGTCTGAGGGGCGGAGCTCGCCTGGGACCTGGGCCACGGAAGGAGCGCGGGGGACGCGCGGGGTCCGCGGGGCGGGAGGCGGGAGGCCGCGAGGCGGGCGGGCGGCCCTGCTGTGACGTCCGGGCGCCCCTCCCGCTGCAGGGGCCGCAGGGGACCCCACCCGCTTCCTCAGTGTTTGGGCGCCGGGCGCGTCTTAGGGTGGCGCGGCGGGAATGGTTGGCCCTGGGAAACCCGCGATGGCGTCCTGAGTAAGGAGATGGGTAGAATAGAGGCAGGAAGCCACTCGCGTCGGATGCCGTTCAGCCGTGATTCGAGGGTGACTGTGCACACGGGTGCCAGGATGGGCTCACTCCCGGCGCGGGAGCTGCATCTGTGCGAAGTCCTACCCGGGTGGGATCTGGAGGCCCTTAGACCACCGCAGCGAGCCCTCGCTAGGATTAAGGCTCACGGGCCAGAGCAGAGGGTACTCAGCTAGGTTTGTGAGATCACTAACTTTACACACACACACACACACACACACACACACTGAAAAAAATATCAGGCTCACGGGCCAGAGCAGAGGGTACTCAGCTAGGTTTGTGAGATCACTAACTTTACACACACACACACACACACACACACACACACTGAAAAAAATATCAGGCTCACGGGCCAGAGCAGAGGGTACTCAGCTAGGTTTGTAAGATCACTAACTTTACACACACACACACACACAACACACACACACACTGAAAAAAAATGTCAGGCTCACGGGCCAGAGCAGAGGGTACTCAGCTAGGTTTGTAAGATCACTAACTTTACACACACACACACAACACACACACACACACACACACACACACTGAAAAAAAATGTCAGGCTCACGGGCCAGAGCAGAGGGTACTCAGGTTTGTAAGATCACTAACTTTACACACACACACACACACACACACACCACACACACACCACACAACACACACACACACACACACACACTGAAAAAAATGTCAGGCTCACGGGCCAGAGCAGAGGGTACTCAGCTAGGTTTGTGAGATCACTAACTTTACACACACACACACACACCACACAACACACACACACACCACACAACACACACACACACACACTGAAAAAAATGTCAGGCTCACGGGCCAGAGCAGAGGGTACTCAGCTAGGTTTGTAAGATCACTAACTTTACACACACACACACACCCCATATTTGCTTGGCAAATATGGAAAACAGGAATTTTGATTATAATGTGATACAAATTTCTTTGTTTATTTTTATTCTCTTGGTAACTCACAGAAAAAGTGATACAAATTTCATACAGGATTTTTCCCTTGGGTAGAATGAACACAGAGAAAGATACCCTCAGTTATCTTGGTAAAAGGTTCTGAATGCCCAGAATGCCATTCAGCCGTATTTTTTTATTTTATTTTATTTTATTTTATTTTGTGAAAGCGTGCAGAACAAAATTAACAACAAGTATATATTTTGTTTTGGGGGAGAGGGGAGTATGAGAAGCTCATTATTGGATGTATTGAGTTGCCTAATAAACATTCATATGGAGCATGAGTTGGAATGTGTTGAAGTTCAGTGCAGGTCCAGGTTGAAGATACACATGTGGCCTATGATTTGTCTTAATTTGTTTATATTTTATAATAAAAAATATGAAAAAGAAGGATTAAGTGGTACTAATGACAAAAAGATGGGAGAAGTTGCGGTATGAAGGTAAGCTGGGGTTGTGGAGTCACCGACTGGATGTTCACAAATTGTTCCATTCAGGTTCAGGCCCTCTGTGGTTAAAGACTGTATCCATGCTGTGCTCAAGGAGGAACTGGCAAATGCTGAATATTCTCCAGAAGAAATGCCTCAGCTTACAAAACATTTATCAGAAAACATTAAAGATAAATTAAAAGGTAATCATGGTGATAACTGGAAATGACTCATTCTCTTCACAGAGTCAGTATTACCCATTTGCCCCCTCTCCATCTTTAAACAAAGGACATTGGGGCCAGGTGTGGTGGCTCACGCCTACAATCCCAACACTTTAGCATGCCAAGGCAGGAAGATTGCTTGAGCTCTGGAGTTCAGTACCAGCCTAGGCAACATGGTGAGGCCTCATGTCTATTTTTCTTTTTTTTGAGATGGAGTTTCACTCTTGTTGCCCAGGCTGGAGTGCAATGGCATGATCTTGGCTCACTGCAAACTCCGCCTCCCGGGTTCAAGTGATTCTTCTGCCTCAGCCTCCTGAGTAGTTGGGATTACAGGCATGCACCATCACGCCTGGCTAATTTTGTATTTTTAGTAGAGACGGGGTTTCTCCATGTTGGTCAGGCTGGTCTCAAACTCCTGACCTCAGGTAATCCACCCGCCTCGGCCTCTCAAGGTGCTGGGATTACAGACATGAGCCACCGCGCCCAGCCGACCTCATGTGTATTAAAAAGCAAAATAAAGGCCGGGCGCAGTGGCTCACGCCTGTAATCGCAGCACTTTGGGAGGCTGAGGCGGGTGGATCACGAGGTCAGGAGATTGAGACCATCCTGGCTAACACGATGAAACCCTGTCTCTACTAAAAATACAAAAAATAGCTGGGTGTGGTGGCACACGCCTGCAGTCCCAGCTGCTTGGGAGGCTGAGGCAGGAGAATCACTTGAACCCAGGAGGTGGAGGTTGCAGTGAGCTGAGATCGCGTCACTGCACTCCAGCCTGGGTGACAGAGTGAGACTCTGTCTCAAAAAAAAAAAAAAGCAAAATAAAAAAATAAAACATCTCTATTAAAAAAACGTAAATAGAATGTTAGCTGTGGATTCTATTAAAGACAACTTTTTCTTCAGTGTCTTGTCTTCTCTAATTATTTGGTGACTTTTACTCATGTAAGTTTTTGCAGATGGGGGAAAAGAGTGAAGATGTGAAATAAAACACTGTCCAAAAAATCTTAGTATTCAGAAAGACCAGAAAGTACAGGGACTCCTTTCCCCTGTATTTCTTGGTTGTTTCTTCCCCCAAGCTGTCAAGTCCTCAGCCTGGCATTTAGTACCTGCAGTCCATCTCTCCTCCCTAATCCTTAGCTACTTCCCTTACTCAACCCTCGACCCCTACCAAACTACATCTGTAGAGCATATTTTGTGCTTTTCCTACCCTGTTCTCTTTGTCTCTCTGATTGTTTTGTTTTTTTTTGTTTTGTTTTGTTTTTGAAATAGGGTCTTGCTGTTTTGTCCAGGGTGGAGTGCAGTGGTGTGAACATGGCTCACTGCAGCCTTGACCTCCTGGCTCAAGCGATCCTCCCATCTCAGCCTCCCAAGTAGCTGGGTCTACAGGCTTGTGCCACCGTGCTTGGCTAATTTTTTAATTTTTAAATTTTTCTGTAGAGATGGTGTCTTGCCATGTTGCCCTGGCTGATCTTGAGCTCCTGGCCTCAAGTGATTCTCCCACCTAGGCCTCGCAAACTGCTGGGATTGCAGGTGTGAGCCACTGCGCCTGGTCTCTCTCTTTTGTTAATAATGTTATACCGTCTGATCTGAAAAGTTCTTTTTTTTTTTTTTTTTCTTTTTGAGACAGAGTCTCGCTCTGTTTCCCAGGCTGGAGTGCAGTGGTGTGATCTCAGCTCACTGCAACCTCCTCCTCCTGGGCTCAAGTGATCCTCCCGCCTCAGCCTCCCAAGCAGTTGGAATTTCAAGCATGCGCCACCACACGTGGCTAATTTTGTCTTGAACTCCTGACCCTCAAGAGATCTGCAAGCCTTGGCCTCCCAACATGCTGGGATTACAGATGTGAGCCACCGTGCCCGGCCTATTTCCATCTGCTCTTCTTAGAAGACATCATTTTTTGAAGAGAAAGAATATCTTCATAAAAGTAATACATGCTCGTTGTAATAAACCTAGACAATACAAAAAAGTATCCATAAGGTTTTTTTTTGAGATGGAGTTTTGCTGTTGTTGCCCAGGCTGGAGTCCAATGGCATGATCTTGGCTCACTGCAATCTCCGCCTCCTGGGTTCAAGCGATTCTCCTGCCTCAGCCTCCTGAGTAGCTGGGATTACAGGCAAGTGCCACCATGCCCGGCTAATTTTTGTGTTTTTAGTAGAGACGGGGTTTCTCCATGTTGGTCAGGCTGATCTCGAACTCCTGACCTCAGGTGATCCGTCCGCCTCGGCCTCCCAAAGTGGTGGAATTACAGGCGTGAGCCACTGTGCCTGGCCCCTTAAAGTTTTAAAATATTAACCAAAGGCAGTTACTATTTAATATTTGTGTTTATTGTTTTTTTCTGAATTTGTTTTTAGTTTAAGAAATTAAAAAATACAGAAAAGTACAAAGAATAGCAA
The DNA here is from genome assembly GCF_000001405.40 of Homo sapiens. NCBI lineage: Eukaryota > Metazoa > Chordata > Mammalia > Primates > Hominidae > Homo > Homo sapiens. Next base: position 196,313,692 of record NC_000003.12, on the reverse strand, counting down.
TCCTGTGTATTTCTATCACCCAGAATTAACTGCTGTTAGTATATTAGCATTTTTGTTTTTAGACTTTTTAATGAAGGTTCATCGTTAAGATTTTTTGTAAAAAATGGTACACATTCATTATACAAAATTTAAACACTAGAAAAATAAAATGAGAAAAATCACCTGAATGCCACCACCAATAAACAATCATTAATATTGGCCAGGCACAGTGGCTCACGCCTGTAATTCCAGCACTTTTGGAGGTTGAGGCGGGCGGATCTCTTGAGCCCAGGAGTTCGAGACCATCCTGGCCAACATGGCAAAACCCTGTCTCTTAGAAAAATACAAAAATTAGCCGGGCTGGTGGTGTGCATCTGTAGTCCCAGCTATTCGGGTGGCTGAGGCAGGAGGATCACCTGAGCCCAGGGACGGAGATTGCAGTGAGCCAAGATTATGCCACTGTGCTGCAACCTGGGCAACAGAGTGAGACTCTGTCTCAAAAAAAAAAAAAAAATCATTAATACTAGGCAAACATTACAACAGACTTCTACATGTCCATATACATGGACAAATGACAATGGGATATTGTAGACCTGTTTCCCATAGTCATGTCATATTCATTCTGTAACTGGATCAGTTGCCTCCTGTTTAGTTCCTTGACCATGTCATTTTCATTGTTGAGTTCCTTATTTTCTTTTTTTGAGACAGGGTCTTCGTCACCCAGGCTGGAGTGCAGCGGTGTGATTTCAGATCACTGCAGCCTCAACCTCCCGGGCTCAAGTGATTCTCCTGCCTCAGCCTCTCAATTAGCTGGGAAGAGTTCCTTATTTCAACTCCTAGATGATGAGATTTTGTTGTAAGTTGTTTTCAGAAAGGACTCAGAAATGCCGTATTCCCTGGATTCTTTTGTGTTTGAGAATGCCTGCCTTTTGCCTTTAAAGTAGAATATACTATGGGCCAGGCGCGGTGGCTCACGCCTGCAATCCAGGCACTGTGGGAGGCGGAGCCGGGTGGATCACCCGAGGTCAGGAGTTTGAGACCAGCCTTGCCAACATGGTGAAACCCCGTCTCTACGAAAAATACAAAAATTAGCCGGGCGTGGTAGTGGGCATCTGTAATCCCAGCTACTTGGGAGGCTGAGGCAGGGGAATCACTTGAACCCAGGAGGCAGAGTCTGCAGTGAGCCGAGATAGTGCCACTGCACTCCAGCCTGGGCGACAGAGCGAGACTCCATCCCCCGCCCCTCCACCCCCAAAAGTAGAATATACATAGTTTTGAGGTAATAATTTATTTTCTTGACCCTTGTGCTTCATTGCCCTCTGACATTCAGTGGTAACTTGTTGTCAAGAAATCTGAGCCCAGCTTGATGTTCTCTGCTTAAGGAATCCTCACCTTTGGCTGGACGTGGTGGCTCACGCCTGTATTCCCAGCACTTTGGGAGGCCAAGACAGGTGAGTTACCTGAGGTCAGGAGTTTGAGACCACCCTGAACAATATGGTGAAACCCCGTCTCTAGTAAAAATACAAAATTTAGGGGCTGGGCATGGTGGCTCACGCCTGTAATCCCAGCACTTAGGGAGGCCGAGGCGGGCGGATCACTTGAGGTTGTGAGTTCGAAACCAGGCTGACCAACATGGAGAAACCCTGTCTCTACTAAAGATACAAAATTAGCCAGGCGTGGTGGCGCATGCCTGTAATCCCAGGCTGAGACAGGAGAATAGCTTGAACCCAGGAGGCAGAGGTTGCAGTGAGCCAAGATTGCACCATTGCACTCAAGCCTGGCCAACAAGGGCGAAACTCTGTCTCAAAAAAACAAAACAAAAATTAGCCGGGCTTGCTAGTCCCAAACTCCTGACCTCAGGTGACCCACCCGTCTCGGCCTCCCAAAGTGCTGGGATTTCTTGGGAGGCTGAGACAGGAGAATTGCTTGAACCTGGGGGGTGAAGGAGGTTGCAGTGAGCTGGGATCGTGCCAGTGCACTCCAGCCTGGGCAACAGAGCGAGACTCTGTCTCAAAATAAATAAATAAATAAATAAATAAATAAATAAATAAAATAATCCTCATCTTCACCTTTATGCTCAGTAGCTTTTCTAAAGATTCTGACTTTCTAATGAGCATTTTATAGCTTTCAATCTGCAGACTTTATTCTTTCCATATAAAGGAAATTTCCTTATATCTCTGAATATGTTTCCTATTCCATTCGTTACTTCCTTTTCTTCAGGACACCAAATATTGTTATGTTGAGCCATCTTTGTCTTCTATATTTATTAGTTTTTCTTTCCCATAATTTCTTTCTTCTTCTTTTTTTTTTTTTGAGACAGGGTCTCACTCTGTTGGCCAGGCTGGAATGCAGTGGCGCAGTCTTGGCTCACTGCAGCCTCAAGCAATCCTCCCATCTCCGCCTCCCAAGTAGCTGGGACTACAGGCGCCTGCCACCACACCCGGCTAATTTTTGTATTTTTTGTAGAGACGGGGTTTTGCCATTTTGCCCAGGCTTCTTCCTTTTTTATTGCCATTTACTTGTGATTTTCTTAAACCAGTAATTGTTTTCATTTGTGTCTTTTTTCTTGCCATTTTGAATTTATTAGTTCTGGAATGATCTTTTCTGGGTATTCTGTTTGTTCCCTAGGGCCGTGGTCTTTCTTTTCATCTCTTTATGTTGCTTAATAACCTGATTGAGGCTGGGTGCCGTGGCTCACACCTGTAATCCCAGCACTTTGGGAGGCCGAGGCGGGTGGATTGCCTGAGCTCAGGAGTTCATGACCACCCTGGGCAACATGGTGAAACCTCGTCTCTACTGAAATACAAAGAATTAGCCAGGCGTGGTGGTGCACGCCTATGGTTCCAGCTACTTGGGAGGCTGAGGCAGGAGAATCACTTGAACCCAGAAGGCGGAGGTTGCAGTGAGCCGAGATCGCCCCACTGCATTCCAGCCTGGGTGACAGAGGGAGACCCTATCTCCAAAAAAACAAAAACAAAACAAAACAGGCCAGGTGAGGTGGCTCACGCCTGTAATCCCAGAACTTTGGGAGGCAGAAGCAGGTGGATCACTTGAGGTCAGGAGTTCCAGACCAGCCTGGGCAACATGGTGAAACCGTGTCTCTACTAAAATATAAAATTTAGCCAGGTATGGTGGTGCGTGCCTGTAATCCCAGCTACTCAGAAGGCTCAGGTGGGAGAATCGCTTGAACCCAGGAGGTGGAGGTTGCAGTGAGTTGAGATCATCCCACTGCACTCCAGCCTGAGCGACAGAGCGAGATTCCCTCTCAAAAAACCAAACCAAATCAAACAAAATCATAACCTGGCCAGGTGCGGTGGCTCACGCCTGTAATCCCAGCACTTTGGGAGGCCGAGGTAGGTGGATCACCTGAGGTCAGGAGTTCGAGACCAGCCTGACCAAGATGGTGAAATCCCGTCTCTACTAAAAATGCAAAAAAAAAAAAAAATTAGCCGAGCGTGATGGCGCATGCCTATAATCCCAACTACTTGGGAGGCTGAAGCATGAGAATTGCTTGAATCTGGGAGGTGGAGGTTGCAGTGAGCCTAGATCTTGCCATTGCACTCCACCCTGGGCAGAAGAGCGAAACTCTGTCTCCAAAAAAAAAGTTAAAAAATTTGATAACCTGATTGAGTACTTATTTCATTGAGTTTATAAGCTTACATTGTTCTAGTATTGTGAATTAATTGTGAGGAATAACTCTTCGTTCCTTGATTTGTATTACTTCCTAGGTTGATTTTTTTCTTTCTTTTCTTTTCTTTTTTTTTTTGGACTGAGTTTCGGTCTTGTTGCACAAGCTGGAGTGCAATGGCGCAATCTTGGCTCACCTTAACCTCCACCTCCCAGGTTCAAGCGATTCTCCTGCTCAGCCTCCCAAGTAGCTGGGATTACAGGCGTGCACCACCACGCCCTGCTAATGTATTTTTAGTAGAGATGGGATTTCTCCATGTTGTTCAGGCTGGTCTCAAACTCCTCACCTCAAGTGATCCACCCGCCTCAGCCTCCCAAAGTGGGATTACAGGTGTGGGCCACCGTGCCCAGCCAAATTTTTTCTCTTACACAGCTCCTTCCTTCCTTCTTTCCTTCCTTCTTCCTTCCTTCCACTGGAAGTTTCTTTCTTTTCTTCAATATTTTTTGAAAAATTGTTTTGTGGACCAGGTGTGGTGGCTCACGTCCGTAATCCCAGCACTTTGGGAGGCCGAGGCAGATGGATCACCTGAGGTCAGGAGTTCGAGAACAACCTGACCAACATGGAGAAACCCCATCTCTACTAAAAATACAAAAGTAGCCAAGTGTGGTGGTTCATGCCTGTAATCCCAGCTACTCGGGAGTCTGAGGCAGGAAGATTGCTTGAACCCAGGAGGCAGAGTTTGTGGTGACCTGAGATCACGCCATTGCACTTCAGCCTGGGCAACAAGAGTGAAACTCCATCTCAAAAAAAAGAAAAAAAGAAAAATTGTTTTGTGGAGATGGTGGTCTTGTCATGCTGCCTAGGCTGGTCTTGAACTTCTGGCCTTAAGAGATCCTCCCGCCTCAGCCTCCAAAATTGCTGGGATTACAGGCGTGAGCCATGGCACCCAGCAGAAGCTTTGTTCTTCTTTGTTACTCTTTTGTTTTTGCTATTGCATCTTTGTTTATTGCCATTTGGCTGCATTTCATTTTGTTGTGCCCATACATCATAATTGCTCTGATATAATGTGGGGGATTTTTAATTGCTCTGATATGATGTGGGGGATTTTTAATTGCTCTGATATGATGTGGGGGATTTTTAATTGCTCTGATATGGTGTGGGTTTTTTTTTTAAGTTCCCCTCCCCACCATATCTGAGACTATTTTATTTTCCCCTCAGAACCGTGATTTAAGGGCTGAGTATTATTCTAGACACATTTCTGTATAATTTGGGATTGGTTAGAGAAAGGAGGAAGCTCAGCTGAGTTGTGTGCAGTGTTTTTTAAAAATAACTTGGACTCTGTCTTTACACACTCTGAATCAGGTTCATGCCCCACATGGGAGATTGCCTGTAGTCTTCAGATTGTCCCGTTTACAGTGTAATCTTGGAACCTGCACGTTCATCAGAGAGAGCTGGCTCTTTCAGCTTCGCTTATTTCACTTCTTTTGTTTTTTTAAAACTCTTTCCACTATTCCTTGGTCAAAAAAGTAGAAAGATTCAAAAATGCCCATTCCATTTTTTTCTCTTCAGACTTGGTGTTAGTGAGAATTTTCAGGATTTTGCTGCTTTAGCAACGTAGTTTCTGGAGTAAACAGCTAAATGGTGCTGGATCACCTCGTTTTGCTCTGGAATCTTCATTTTTTTTCTTGTCTGTCTTACTGAACAGCTTACAGTTTCTTGGAGATCCCATGCTCTCCTGCTGTGCACATGCCCCTCGTTCTCGGACGTGTGGGGAGATGGGGCTGACCTGGTCCCCTCTTACTCAGCCCTCAAGACTCAGTTTATTGGCCGGCCACATCTTCCAAGAAGTCTTTTCCAGTGATTTCTTGCCACTGCCCAGACAAACAGAGGAACTGCCCCCACTGGCTCTGTGTTCCTGATGTACATCATACATGCCACTCCTTGAATTATAAGCATACTCAATTTATAATTTATTTTTCTATTTTCTTTTTTTTTTTTTTTTTCGAGATGGAGTTTTGCTCTTGTTACCCAGGCTAGTGTGCAATGGTGCGATCTCAGCTCACTGCAACCTCCGCCTCCCAGGTTCAAGCAATTCTCCTGCCTCAGCCTCCCGAGTAGCTGGGGTTACAGGGATCTGCCACCATGCCTGGCTAATTTTTATATTTTTTAGTAGAGACGGGGCTTAACCATGTTGGCCAGGCTTGTCTCAAACTCCTGACCTCAGGTGATCCACTGGCCTCACCTTCTGAGAGTGCTGGGATTACAGGCGTGAGCCACCGTGCCCGGCCTATTTTTCTATTTTCCTTTGAGTTCTTTATTACTGTGAGTTCTTTAAGGCAAGAAAAACGTCTTATTTATTTCTCTATCTTGAAGGTTCAGCTCACTAGCTGACTTATAGTAGGGGAAAAAGGAAGGAAGCTAAGGTTTATTGAAGGACTAGTATTTAACAGCACTGTTTAGATGCTTTAGATATTACTATATCTGACCGGGCGCGGTGGCTCACGCCTGTAATCCCAGCACTTTGGGAGGCCAAGGTGAGTGGATCACCTGAGGTCAGGAGTTCGAGACCAGCCTGGGCAACATGGTGAAACACCTTTTCTACTAAAAATACAAAAATTAGCCAGGTGTGGTGATGCATACCTGTAGTCCCAGCTACTGAGGAGGCTGAGGTAGGAGAATCACTTGAACCCTGGAGGCAGAGGTTGCCGGTGAGCTGAGATCGTGCCACTGTACTCCAGCCTGGGCAACAGAGTGAGAATCCATCTCAAAAACAAAACAAAAAAAAGATACTACTATATCTTACCTAACCTTATAACAATCTTGGGAGGTAGGTACTGATATTCCTGTTTAATAAGGGAGACTTAAACTGAAAAGTTAAATTACTTTCTGAGGTTATACACTTGCTGAGTTATAGTTAGGATCTGCCTTCACGTCCTCCTGACCCCCAAGCTTACCACCATATTCATTAAGTACTTGTGGATTGAATGTTTATGTCCATTTCTGGGCAAATTTGTCTTCAATAAGTAATTTTACTACATATTTGCTTATAAATAACCTTATTTTTTCTTTCTAGAAATGGGATTTGACCGATACAAAATGGTGGTGCAAGTAGTGATTGGAGAACAAAGAGGTGAAGGAGTATTGTGAGTAGCTGGATTTTCCTTCTTGTTTTAGTCATCTATATTTCTTATGAGGTATCTGTCCTTTGGACAATTCAGTAAGAGTGCCTTTACAAGAGTGAGAAGGGCCGGGTGTGATGGGTCACACCTGTAATCTCAGCACTTTGGGAGGCTGAGGCGGGTGGATCACCTGAGGTCAGGAGTTCAAGACCAGCCTGGCCAACATGGCGAAACCCCGTCTCTACTAAAAATTAGCCGGGTGTGATGGCGTGCGCTTGTAGTCCCAGCTACTCAGGAGGCTGAGGCAGGAGAATCACTTCAACGCAGGAGGTGGAGGTTGCAGTGAGCCAAGATCGTGTCATTGCACTCCAGCCTGGGTGACAGAGTAAGACTCTGTCTCAAAAATAAATAAATAAAATATCTTTATTATCTCTAAAATATTGTCAGTCCTTAATATCATAAAATATGCTGTTATTATTCAGATATGCCTCATATATGTATGTATGTGTTTTCTTTCTTTTCTTTTTTTTTTGTTTAAAGAGACAGGGTCTCATTTTGTCACCCAGGTTGGTGTGCAATGGCACTATCACAACTCACTGCAGCCTTGGCCTCCTGGGCTCAAGTGATCCTCCTGCCTCAGCCTCCTGAGTAGCTGGGACTGCAGGTGTGCACCACCACACCTGGCTAATTTTCTTTCTTTCTTTTTTTTTTTTTTTTTTGCAGAGATGGGTCACACTCTGTTGGCCAGTCTGGTCTTAAACTCCTGGGCTCAGGCAATTCACCAGCCTTGGCCTCCTAAAGTGGTGGACTTATAGGCTTGAACCACCATGCCAGACCTATTATTTTCTTTTTACAATTTTTTCAAATTAAGATTCAAACAAGGTCCACACATTGCATTTGGTTAATATGTAAATTAGGATTTTTTTTTAAGACGTAAGATCTTGCTATCTTGCCCAGGCTGGAGTGCAGTGGCTATTCACAGATGTGATCATAACACACTACAGACTAGAACTCCTGGGCTCAAGTGATCCTCCCACCTCAGCCTGCCAGGTAGCTGGGACTATAGGTGCACACCACAGCATCTGGCTTTAAATTTACTTCAATGTGTTGTTTTTGCTGCCTCATTTCTCTCTTTCTTCTTTTAATCCTGCCATTTGATTTTATTTTTATGACAGTCTTGCTTCCTCACCCAGGCTGGAGTGCAGTGGCATGATCTCGGCTCACTGCAACCTCTGCCTGCCGGGTTCAAGTGATTCTCCTGCCTCAGCCTCCTGAGTAGCTGGGATTACAGGCGCTCACCACCACGCCCAGGTAATTTTTGTATTTTTAGTAGAGATGGGGTTTCACCATGTTGGCCAGGTTGGTCTCCAACTCCTGACCTCAGGTGATCCACCCACCTTGGCCTCCCAAAGTGCTGGGATTGCAGGCGTGAGCCACTGTGCCCTGTCAGTTATTTATTTATTTATTTTTTCCTGCCATTTATTTGTTGAAGAAATTGGTTTGTTTGTCCTGTAGAGTTTCCTATATTCTGGCAGTTGCTGATTATATACCTATGGTATTGTTTAATATGTCTTCTATTTCCTGTACTTCTTGAAAATAAGTAGTTAGATCTAGTCTTAATTAGCCATAGGTTTGAGGTTGGGGAAATACTGTTTTCTATACATCCTATTGCATCTTCTCAGAAGGTACAAAATAGCTGGTCATCTCTTTTTGCTTTGTTAAGGTTGATCATGGAGTTCAGATATTGTCAGATGGATCCATCTATTATAAAGTTTCCCATCAGGGCCGGGCGTGGTGGCTCACACCTGTAATCCCAGCACTTTGGGAAGCTGAGGCAGGAGGATCACTTGAGCCCAGGAGTTCCAGACCAGCCTGGGCAACACAGCAAAACTCTGTCTCTACAAAAAAATACAAAAATTAGCCGGGCATGGTGGCACACGCCTGTGGTCCCAGCTACTTGAGAGACTGAGGTGGGAGGACCTCTTGAGCCCAGGAAGGTTGAGACTGCAGTAAGCCGTGATTGTGCCACTGTACTCCAGCCTGGGTGACAGAGTGAGACCCTGCCTCAGATAGGTAGGTAGGTAGGTAGGTAGATAAGTGCTTACCTTGTCTTCTAGTTTCCATTGTTTCTGTTGAGAAGTCAGCTGTAAGTTTTATTATTCAATTTAAGATGGTATGTCCTCTCTAGCCACTATTACTTTCTTTGTATTTATTCTGCTTAGAGCACTCAGAGTCTCTTGAATCTATGGATTGATTTTTTTGTTGTTTTTTTTTTGAGATGGAGTTTCGCTTTTGTCTCCCAGGCTGTAGTGCAATGGTGCGATCTTGGCTCACTGCAAGCTCTGCCTCCCAGGTTCAAGAGATTCTCCTGCCTCAGCCTCCCGAGTAGCTGGGAGTATAGGTGCCAACACCATGCTCGGCCTTCTAAAGTCCTGGGATTACCAGTGTGAGCCACTGCACCCAGCCAGGTTGATTTTTTTTATCAGTTTGGGAAAATTCTTAGCCATTACCTTTGTTTAAAAAAAACAGTTTTTGGCCAGGTGCAGTGGCTCCCACCTGTAATCTCAGCCCTTTGGGGGACCGAGGTGGGTGGATCACTTGAGGTCAGGAGTTCGAGACCAGCCTGGCCAACCTGGCGAAACCCTGTCTCTACTAAAATTACAAAAAATTAGCCGGGCATGGTGGTGCACACCTGTAACCCCAGCCACTTGGAGGCTGAGGCAGGAGAATTGCTTGAACCTGGGAGGTGGAGGTTGCAGTGAGCTGAGATCACGCCACTGCACTCCAGCCTGGGGAACAGAGTGAAACTCTATCTCAAAAAATAAAAAAATAAAAAAACCAAGTTTTTATTTTAAAATAGTTTTAGATTTATAGAAAAGTTGCAGAGTTAGCGTATACTCCACACCCAGTTTCCCTGTTACTGTAAGAATAGTAATTATGCTATTGAGACAGTTCTTGCTCTGTCGCCCACGCTGGAGTGCAGTGGTGCAACCGTGGCTCACTGCAGCTTTGACCTCTTGGGCTTAACCAGTCCTCCTGCCTCGGCTTCCCAAAACACTGGGGTTACAGGCATCATCTACCGCACCCGGACTCCCTATGGTTAACATCTACATAGTATGGAACATTTATTATAATTAATGAAACAATATTGATACAGTGTTATCAAATAAAGCTTTGTTCTGATTTCTAGTTTGTTCCTAATGTCCTTTTTCTGCTTTAGGATTCTATCTAGGATACCACATTAAATGTCTCTTTGGGCTCTTCTTGGCGGTAACAGTTTCTCAGACTTTCTTGTTTTTCATCACCTTGACTTTTTTGAGGAGTACTGGTTAGGTGTTTTGTAGAATGTTCCTTCACTGGGATTTTTCTGCTAATGATTAGTCTGAGGTTACAGGTTTTTGGAAGGAAGATCACAGAGGTAAGACGCCATTCTCGTCATATCATATCAATGGTACATACTGTCAACATGACATGTTACTGTTCATATGAACTTTGCCTCCCTGCCTGAGCTAATGCTTCTCAGGTTTCTTTACTATAAACTTACTCTTTCTATAACTGCTCAGTGGGTTCACTTGCCCGCTGCCTAGACAGAGCCGATTCATCATGACAGGGGAATTGCCATAGAGAAAAAGTAATTCACGCACAGCCGGCTGTGCGGGAGACCGGAGTTTTATTATTACTCAAATCAGTCTCTCCCAGCATTCGGGGAGCAGAGTTTTTAAGGACAGCTTGGTGGGTGTGGAGAGCCAGTGAGCCGGGAGTGCTGATTGATCAGGGATGGAATCACAGGGAGTCAGCTGTCTTCTTGTGCTGAGTCAGTTCCTGGGTCGGGGCCACAAGATCAGATGAGCCAGTTTATCCATCTGGGTGGTGCCAGCTGATCCATCAAGTGCAGGGTCTGCAAAATATCTCAAGCGCTGATCTTAGGAGCAGTGTAGGGAGGGTCAGAATCTTGTAGCCTCCAGCTGCATGGCTCCTAAACCATCATTTCTAATCTTGTGACTAATGTTAGTCTAGTCCCCCGGCAAGAAGGAGGTCTGCTTTGGGAAAGGGCTGTTACCGTCTTTGTTTTAAACTATAAATTAAGTTTCCCCCCAAGTTAGTTCAGCCTACGCCCAGGAATGAACAAGGGCAGCTTGGAGGTTAGACGCAAGATGGAGTCGGTTAGGTTGGATCTCTTTCACTGTCTCAGTCATCATTTTGCAAAGGCGGTTTCATTTCCTCCGTGTTCATCCTGTACTCATTAGGAGGAAATCATCGTGTGCAGCCCACACTGAAAGAGCAGGGAGTTATGACCCACCTCCTCAAGGGCATCGTATCTGCGTAAATTCTTTGGAATTTTCAGCACAGGAAATTTGTCTCTCCTCTCCCATTTATTTATGTATTCTGTCATTTATTTCAACATGGACTCATGGATATTTTATACTTTGGATGATTATTCAATACTACTTTATTTATTTTGTAGTTCTAATTGTTCCAGCTTGGCCATTGAGAGCTTTCAGTGGATTCCTGTGTCCCACTGACTCTACTATTGTGGGTTTCTTTGAGCACTTCCTTACTTTCCAGCACTATCAGAAGCTCCACTGTGTTCATTCCCTACCCCAGCCCTACAATTCAGCCATTTCTCCAAGGAGCCCCTGTTCAATGTGTTGGAGAATGGCATTAGAAACTAAGCTTGGGGCCCTAGAGGTAGCCGTTCTCTTTTAAAACACTGCTGCTGCCCCTTCCACTCCGCTCTCTTTTTAGGATTTAGGTTACATGTATGTTTGGTCTTTTCTCAGTATTCCACATGTCTCTTATGCTTTTTTCTGATTTTTCTATTTCCTCTCTGTGCTTCAGTTTATATATTTTTTCTTTTTTCAGACGGAGTCTCGCTCTGTCACCCAGGCTGGAGTGCAGTGGTGTGATCTCGACTCATCGCAACCTTCACCTCCTGGGTTTAAGCGATTCTCGTGCTTCAGCCTCCCAAGTAGCAGAGACTACAGGCGTGAGCCACCGTGCCTGGCCAATTTGTATATTTTTCTATTGGCCTTTTAGGTCAATCATCCTCTTTTCTGTTGCATCTGATCTGCAGTTAAACCCATAACCTGAGTTCTTAATTTCAGTTATTGTATCTTTCAGTTTGGGAATTTACATTTAGTTTTTATAGATTTCAGTTATCTAGTAAAAGGCTTTATCCTTCAATCTTTTTTAACCCTCCCCACTCTATTTTTACATTTTAGTCATACTAATTATTTTATTTTATTTTATTTTTGAGACAGAGTCTCACTCTGTCACCCAGGCTGGAGTGCAGTGGCGCCATCTCTGCTCACTGCAGCCTCCACCTTCCAGGTTCAAGCAATTCTCCTGCCTCAGCCTCCCGAGTAATTGGGATTACTGGTGCCCACCACCACACCCGCCTAGTTTTTGTATTTTTAGTAGTGACAGGATTTCACCATGTTGACCAGGCTTATCTGGAACTCCTGATCTCAAGTGATCTGCCCCGCTCAGCCTCCCAGAGTGTTGGGATTACAGGCATGAGCCACTGCGCCCAGCCACAGTAGTTATTTTTATGTTGTTATATGCTTACTCTGGTATCTGGGTCATGTGTGAGTTTGTTTCCATTGTATTTTTCTTGATAATCATGTATATGGCTTTGTCTCTTGGCATGCCTAGTTTGAATCTTAGATATTGCTTAAAAGAATTATAGACCTCCAGATGATATTATTTTCTTCCAGAAAGGACTTAACTCTCTCTTCTGCTGTGCAGGAAGAGTATTGGCCGCTTAGCTTCAGGTACTGAGCTGAATTGAGGTTGGGTTACAGTTTTATCTTTTTAAAAAATTTTCTTTTCTTGTGCCAACTCATCTGAGAGTTGTGGTTTTAAAAAGGCCCTATCTTAAATTCATCCCTTTTTTTTTTCTTTTTTGAGACAGAGTCTCAACTCTGTTGCCCAGGCTGGAGTGCAGTGGTGCGATCTCAGCTCACTGCAACCTCTGGCTCCTGGGCTCAAGTGATCCTCCTGCTTCAGCCTCCCAAGTAGCTGGGACCGTAGGCATGAGCCACCACGCCCAACTAATTTTTGTATGTTTTTGTTGAGATGGGGTTTCACCATGTTGCCCAGGCTGGTCTTGAAGTCCTTGGCTCAAGTGATTCTCCTGCCTTGGCCTCCCCAAGTGCCCAAGTGCTAGGATTATAGGTGTGAGCCACCACACCCAGCCTCACCCTTGTTTCTATTTTTTTTTTTTTTTTTTTTTTGGAGACAGAGTTTCATTCTTGTTGCCCAGGCTGGAGTGCAATGGCATGATCTTGGCTCACCACAACCTCAGCCTCCCGGGTTCAAGTGATTCTCCTGCCTCAGCCTCCTGAGTAACCGGGATTAGAGACGCACGCCACCACGCCCGGCTAATTTCTGTATTTCAGTAGAGATGGGGTTTCACCATGTTGGCCAGGCTGGTCTCAAACTCCTGACCTCAGGTGATCCACCCACTTTGGCCTCCCAAACTGCTGGGATTATGGGCGTGAGCCACTGTGCCTGGCCCCCTTGTTTCTTAATTGTAGCCCTCCAAGTCTTTCAACCAAGAACCTCGAATGTTCATTAGGCCTCTGCAGGCCTCTACCTCCAACAGGTGCTGACTTTCAGATCTTGTCTCCTCAGCATAAAACTTTGCTCTTCATGTCAGAGGCTTTTTCCTTAGTGTACTAGTTTCCTGTTGCTGCCGTAACAAATTATCACAAACTCAGTGCTGAAAATGGCACAAATATATTACTTTACAGTTCTGGAGATCAGAAATCCAAAATGGGTTTCATTGAACTAAAATGAAGATGTCAGCAGGGCTGCATTCCTTCTGGAGGCTCTAAGACTGAATCCATTTCCTCGTCTGTTCCAGTTAGAGGCCCCTGAACTCCTTAGCCCATAAGCCGTTTCCTCCAATTTCAAAGCCAGCAGCACAGCATCTTCAACTCTCTGACTCTGACCCACCTACTCCCTCTTTCTTTTGTAAGGACCCTTGTGATTTAGTCATACTAGTTACTTTATTTTATTTTATTCTATTTTTGAGAAAGAGTCTCACTCTGTTGCCCAGGCTGGAGTGCAGTGGTGCCATCTCGGCTCACTGCAAGCTCCGCCTCCTGGGTTCACGCCATTCTCCTGCCTCAGCCTCCCGAGTAGCTGGGACTACAGGCGCCCGCCACCACACCCGGCTAATTTTTTGTATTTTTAGTAGAGACGGGGTTTCACCACGTTAGCCAGGATGGTCTCGATCTCCTGACCTCGTGATCCGCCTGCCTCAGCCTCCCAAAGTGCTGGGATTACAGGCGCGAGCCACTGTGCCCGGCCTGAATTCAGCATGTCTTGAAAAGAAAACCTACCATGTGATACGCTCAGTTCTACTTTCTCCTTTTTTATGGGATCTTCCCTCCAGAATCTGATTTTACCTCCTTAGCTTTGTTAAGACTGCCGACTCTGCTGGGCACAGTGGCTCACTCCTGTAATCCTACCACTTTCGAAGGCCAAGGCGGGCAGATTGCCTGAGCTCAGGAGTTGGAGACCAACCTGGGCAATATGGTGAAACCCCGTCTCTACCAAAAATACAAAAAATTAGGGCCAAGCACAGTGGCTCATGCCTGTAATCCCAGCACTTTGGGAGGCCGAGGCCGGTGGATCACTTGAGGTCAAGAATTCGAGACCAGCCTGCCCAACATGGTGAAACCCCGTCTCTACTAAAAATACAAAAATTAGCCGGGCGTGGTGGTGGGTGCCTGTAGTCCCAGCTACTTGGGAGGCTGAGGTAGGATAATTGCTTCAACCCGGGAGGTTGTGGTTGCAGTGAGCCAAGATTGTGCCACTGCACTCCAGCCTGGGCAACAGAGTGAAACTCCATCTCAAAAAAAAAAAAGAAAAAAAAAAATTAGCCAGGCATGGTGGTGCATGCCTGTTATCCCAGCTACTCGGGAGGCTGAGACATGAGAAGTGCTTGGCCTGGGGAGGCAGAGGTTGCAGTGAGCTGAGATCGTGCCACTGCACTCCAGCCTGGGTGACAGAGCAAGACTCTGTCTCAAAGTAAAATTAATAAATAAAAAAATTTTAAAAAGTAAAGACTGCCAACTCTCCTACTAGTTAAATTTTCCCTCAGTAATTTGTTCTTTACCTGAGCAAGGCCCAGATTCTCAGCATCTAGCCCTGTGCCCTGAATTGGCAAATCCTCCAGGAAAAAAATCTGCTGCGGAATATCAGCTTACCTCCTAGAGTTCACCTCTTTCTGGAATTTTGGCTCCTCTAGGCCTGTTTGCTTTGGCAGCTCCCTGATTCATTTTATCCAGCTTTTCTTACTGTTCTTGGTGGGAGCATTATTAGCCTGCTACAAACTGTACCATTACACTTTTTCCAAGTCACACCTGTAATCCCAGCACTTTGGGAGGCTGAGGTGGGCCGATTGCTTGAGCTCAGGAGTTTGAGACCAGCCTGGCCCACATGGTGAAACCCTGTCTCTACAAAAAATATAAAAATTAGCCAGGCGTGGTAATGCACGTGTGTAGTCCCAGCTACTCGGAAGGCTGAGGCAGGAGAATCATTGAACCCGGGAGGTGGAGGTTGTAGTGAGCTGAGATTGTGCCACTGCACTCTAGCCTGGTTGACAGAGTGAGACTCCCTCTCAAAAAATAAAAATAAAATATAAATAAATAAAACAATTGGGGTCTCACTATTTTATATTTTTGTCTCAAAAAACAAACAACTCTCTCTTGTGGTGTGTGCTTGATTCTGCTTCTTGTCATGTCTTCTCACAAGTCTTTTAAGAGTAAGCGATTCCTGGCCAAGAAACAAAAGCCAAATCGTCCCATTCTCCAGTGGATCTGGTTGAAAACTGGTAATAAAATCAGGCACAACTGGAAAGGAGACATTGCAGAACAGCCAAGCTGGGTCTATAAGGAACTGCACGTGAGCTGGCACACATATTCACGCTGTATCAAGGTCACGGCCATCTTACTATAGCAAGCTGAAAACGTCACCACTGTCTGAACAGTTGGACGTGTTTTATTGGGAATATATTTTTTCTCTTTGCTTATATGCCCTGCGATAGTAGGCTGGGTTCAGTAATAAATATGTGAGACCTTTTGTTTCAGGAAAAAAAAGAACCAATATAATATAAGGTATATGTGTATGTTTCTCTGTGGGTATGGGTTGTGAACTGCCTGGGTGCAAAGCCAAGCTTTGTTACCTAGTTGTATGACCTTGTACACTTAATTTCTCTAATCCTCATTTGTCACATTCACTAAATGGGTAAAATTATAGTACCTCATAGGATTCAGTGAGTTAATACACGTAAAACACTTAGACTAGTGAATGGCACAAAGTAAGTGCTCAATAAGTGTTTGCATGATAAATCATACACATACGTTTAATAGAAATGTAAAACATTTGTAATTTTTTTTTCACTTATTATTATTATTTATTATTAGTTTTTGAGACAGAGTCTCACTCTGTCGCCAAGGCTGGAGTGCAGTGGCACAATCTTGGCTCACTGCAGCCTCCACCTCCTGGGTTCAAGTGATTCTCCTGCCTCAGCCTCCCGAGTAGCTGGGATTACAGGCGTGTGCCACGATGCCCAGCCAATTTTTGTATTTTTAGTAGAGATGGGGTTTCACCATGTTGGGCAGGCTGGTCTCGAACTCCTGACCTCAGGTGATTCGCCCACCTCAGCCTCCCAAAGTGCTGGGATTACAGGTGTGAGCCACCATGCCCAGCCTATTTTTTTCACTCAACATTATATTGTGAATAGCTTTTCATGTTCTTGGAATTTTTTTTTTAAGAGCCAGGGTCCTGCTGTGTCTCCCAGGCTGGAGTGCAGTGGTGCTATCTCAGGTCACTGCAAGCTCCGCCTCCCAGGTTCACACCAGCCTCCTGAGTAGCTGGGACTACTGGTGCCTGCCGCCACGCCTGGCTAATTTTTTGTATTTTTAGTAGAGATGGGGTTTCACCGTGTTAGCCAGGATGGTCTCGATCCCCCGACCTCGTGATCTGCCCGCCTTGGCCTCCCAAAGTGCAGAATTGTTTTTTTTTTAAGAGCCAGGGTCCTGCTGTGTCTCCCAGGCTGAAGTGCAGTGGCTGTTCACAGGTGTGATCTTCACATACTACATCCCTGAACTCCTGGGCTCAAATGATACTCCCTGTCTCAGCCTCCTGAGTTGCTGGGACTACAGGGACACGTCACTGTGTCTTGCAAAACTTTTCTTTAAGGTCTACATAGAATTTCATTGCCAGAAAACATCATTATTTCTTTTTTCTTTTTTTAAAAAATTCTCCCAGATCCTGAGAAATACCATAATTTCATTTACCAATCCAGTCCTATTGGGCATTTAAGTTGTTTCCATTTTTAATTGGCTTTTATTTTGACTAATATTTTTTTCTTATCCAAGAATTGCAGAGAGGAGAATAGCCAATTTCAAGGTAGTTTAGCATTCTGTAGAGATATTTTTGGAGTTATAATTCGTTAGAAGACTGAATTCTAGTTCAGAGTTTGCTCCTTTTTCTGGGACTCTATAAAATGATCAGGTTGGACTAAATCTGTTGGGCTCTTTCTGTGCCTTCCTCGTCCTGTTATTGTGCAGGAGCTGAGCTCATTAAAAGTCACACACAAATCTCTAGTATTGATCCCTGTAGCCATCAGGTAGGGTCTGAGGCTGTCAGAGTACCTGGCTGGTCACCTCTAGTTGCAAGCAGCTTCATCTGACTCTAGTTTCTCCGGTTTACCCAGTATACTCTCTGGTACAAATACAATACTCTGTGGGTACCTACCTGTGAAAGGTTTGGAAGTACAGATCTATGAGAATGTATTAAGGAACACTGTTTCTCGTGGCAGATATGTGTCGTTTAGGTCCTTGTTAGATTGTTGATAATTCTTCATTCTTGGATTTTTTAGCATGGCTTCTCGCTGTTTCTGGGATGCTGACACTGACAACTATACTCATGATGTTTTCATGAATGTAAGTGTATTTGGAAACCTCTTTTCCCTTTCTAAGAACGTGGGCACCGCAAATCAAACTATTTACTGTTGATTGGGATGGAAAGACACTGCTGTCTTAGTCATTCATCTTTGACTTGTGAATGAAATGATTTTACTGTTAGTTTTTGTGTTACTAAAGCAGAAACCTAGAGTGCTGCTTATAGGCAAGGAAACTTACATGTTTACATATGACATAATTTTTCATGGGTTTGAATTTCTGAATAGCATATTATTTAGTTAGCATATTATTTAAACATTATTTTTAGCCACTTCCTCCATAAATCAGTGTTCTAAAACTCAATCCTGATAATCCTTATTAAAGTAATAATTTATAACTAAAATTTTAAAATCACTTATTTGTTCATTTGAACCAATCACACTTTGCTAAGTTGCAAACAAATGTGGATGGCAGGGATTCCATGAGCAAAGGTCATTTTTTTTTAGTAGTAAAATTTATTACTTTATCTTAAAGCCATTTATTAAAATTAAGCAAAAATAAAGAGGAATCTTTAAAAAGATGTTTCAGGCCAGGCGCGGTGGCTCATGCCTATAATCCCAGCACTTTGGGAGGCCAAGGAGGGCGGATCACCTGAGGTCAGGAGTTCAAGACCAGCCTGGCCAACATGGTGAAAGCCTGTCTCTACTAAAAATATAAAAATTAGCCGAGCATGGTGGCGGGCACCTGTAATCCCAGCTACTCAGGAGGCTGAGGCAGGAGAATCGCTTGAACCCCGGAGGCAGAGGTTGCAGTGAGCTGAGATTGTGCCACTGTATTCCAGCCTGGGTGACACACACACACACATAAAAGAGGTTTCATTGAAGTTATTATTTTATATTTACTCCAGAAAGGATTGCATCCTCTATTCGTCTACTCCCAGGTTGTGAATACATAGAGTCAGAGTTAGAGTAGAACAGAAACTAGATTGAGTAAATTAAGAGAGTGAGGCCAGGTGGGGTGGCTCACGCTTGTAATCTCAGCACTTTGGGAGGCCGAGGCATGTGGATCACTTGAGGTCAAGAGTTTGAGAGCAGCCTGGCCAACATTGTGAAACCTCTTCTCTGCTAAAAACACACACACAAAAAATTAGCCGGGTGTGGTGGTGCACGCCTGTAATCCCAGCTACTTGGGAGGCTGAGGCAGGAGAATTGCTTGAACCTGGTGGCGGAGGTTCCAGTGAGCTGAGATCGCACCACTGCATTCCAGCCTGGGCAGCAGAGCAAGACTCTGTCTCAAAAATTAAAAAAAGAAAAAAGAAAAAAGTAAAAAGAAATAAGAGGGGGATTCCATCTCCAGTTCTGTCACTTTCTAATTGAATGACTTCAGGTAAGTCATTGGATTTTTCTCACATTGTATCAGTGACATTAGGAAGCTGAAGTACATTTTCCCAAAGACTGGCTGTGACTGCCTAAGGATCATCTGGGAAGTTGTTTAAAATATAGACGCTGGGTCCCTATTCAAATAGATTCTGATCAAATAGGCCAGGGGTTAGATCAGTGAATCAGAATATTTAAAAAGTTCCCCATGATTCTGCTGACTGCCAGATATGGACACTGCTTATGTAGATGATTTTAAGGTAGCTTTTAGCTCTAAAATTCTATGGTCTCACCAAGGTTTTATTTTTATTTTTATTATTTTTTGAGACAGAATTTTGCTCTTGTTGCCCAGGATGGAGTGCAATGGCACAATCTCAGCTCACCACAACCTCCACCTCCCGGGTTGAAGTGTCCTGCCTCAGCCTTCCGAGTAGCTGGGATTACAGGCATGCACCACCACACCTGGCTAATTTTGTAATTTTAGTAGAGACAGGGTTTCTCCATGTCGGTTAGGTTGGTCTGGAGCTCCCGACCTCAGGTGATCGGCCCGCCTCGGCCTCCCAGAGTTCTGGGATTATAGGCGTGAGCCACTGCGCCCAGCCCCACCAAAGTTTTATTTTATGCTTAACTACCCTAGGGATCAGGGGCTGGACAGTGGGAAGTACTATGTAAATCTTAATTTATCAGCTATCTTTGGGGGAATAGTCAAGCTAAGAAGATGGTTTTTTTTGCCAGGCACGGTGGCTCATGCCTGTAATCCCAGCACTCTGGGAGGCCGAGGCGGGCGGATCATGAGGTCAAGAGATTGAGACCATCCTGGCCAACATGCTGAAACCCCGTCTCTACTAAAAATACAAAAATTAGCCAGGTGTGGTGTTGGGTGCCTGTAATCCCAGCTACTCGGGAGGCTGAGGCAGGAGAATTGCTTGAACCTGGGAGGCAGAGGTTGCAGTGAGGCGAGATTGTGCCACTGTACTCCAGCCTGGAGACAGAGCGAGACTCTGTCTCAAAAAAAAAAAAAAAAATGCATCTTGTTTGTTTGTTTTGAGACGGAGTCTCACTCTGTCACCTAGGCTGGAGAGTGGTGGTGCCATCACGGCTCACTGCAACCTCTGCCTCCCAGGTTCAAGTAATTCTCCTGCCCCAGCCTCCCGAGTAGCTGGGACTACAGGTGCATGCCACCACGCTCGGCTAATTTTTGTATTTTTTAGTAGAGACAAGGTTTCACTATTTGGTCAGGCTGGTCTCCAACTCCTGACCTCAGGTGATCTGCCTGCTTTGGCCTCCCAAAGTGCTGGGATTACAGGCATGAGCCACTGGGCCTGGCCAAAAAATGCATCTTTAGATGATACAATTCATTCATTCAACAAATAGTTCTGAGCTCCTATTATGTGTCAGCTTCTGCACCTGAGGGGCTAGGGACAAAATGATGAATAAGACAGGCATGGTTTCTGCCTATTAACATCCAGTGGGGGCCACTCAATACTCAAATGAACAAATATGTAATAAAAAACTTTAGGCTGGGTGTGGTGGCTCACGCCTGTAATCCCAGCACTCTGGGAGGCCGAGGCGGGTGGATCACCTGAGGTCAGGAGTTCAAGACCAGCCTGGCCAACATGGTGAAACCCCATCTCTACTAAAAATACAAAAACTAGCCGGGCAAGGTGGCGGGCGCCTGTAGTCCCAGCTACTTGGGAGGCTGAGGCAGGAGAATTGCTTGAACCCAGAGGGCGGAGGTTGCAGTGAGCCAAGATTGTGCCACTGCACTCCAGCCTGGGCGAGAGGGCAAGACTCTGTCTCAAAAAAAAAGCACTTTATTTGGGAGATTCCAGGAAACATTAGTAGAGGCAGAGGAAATGAGAAAGGAGGGAAAATCATGTGGTATTGAGCGGAAAACTGCTGGATGACAGGGCTCAGTCCTGTTGGAGAACTCTGGGTGGTGCTGTAGAACAGGGCCACTCACAGTGGGGTGCACAGACCAGCACGGCTCTGTGACCTGTTTGTTACAGGTCCATGATGAGGTAAACAATACACTGAGTATAAGGGTTGGTTTAGAAACTCTTACAGCAATTTGACAAAGTAATCTTCTGTGCAGTGAATCTAAGAAAAAAATTGGGGCTGTATTTGTATGTTCCTTTTTTTCATTTCATGTTCTGAGTTACCTATTTTTATTGCATTTTACAAAAGCATCCTTCCATGAAGGACCGGAAGTTAAAAACAAAGCAGGTCCTTTATCACAGCACTGTCGTAGAACACAGTTCAGAGTTATCCACCCAAGGAGCCAGGGAGCTGGGCTAAACCAAAGAATTTTGCTTTTGGTTAATCATCAGGTACTTGAGTTGGAATTGTTTTAATCCCATCATTACCAGGCTGGAGGTGAGGTTAGTGGTGCAGGAGTTGCTGAGGCAGGTGGAAATCTTGTAATAAATGCCTAAAAATGTTTTAAGCAATTTGACTGGGCTCTGGAAAGCATTTTGTGATTCTGAACTAAAAGATGGACAAGTAAATTTTATCAATTAAGAACAAACACCCAGAGACTATTTCTCTTATCCAGAATTTATGACAAGGTCCTGTTGTTCTTATTATCAGTGATACTTATAATATGGTTTCTTGGGATGAGTAATGGAGTTTACTCCAAGAAACTCAAAGCATTTCATACATTATTTCTGTGATAAATCAGGAAATATGTGAATAATTATTTTATGAATATGTATTACCTAAAGTTCATTAGTTCACATTTTATTTTTGCATTCAGAAAATCTAATTCTTTACCCATCCTAACCTTTTAGCAAGCAATTTTGTAGTCACCCTCAGGCAAGCAATAGTGTAGCTATACTCTGGAAACCCTTCACTTCTTGAAGAAGGAAAAAGTCTTCCTGATTGAAAATTGGTGGCTGGGTGAGGTGGCTCACGCCTATGATCCCAGCACTTTTGGAGACCAACATGGGTGGATTGCTTGATCCCAGGAGTTCAAGAACAGCCTGGGCAACATAGTGAGACCTCATCTTTACAAAAAATAAACAAAATTAGCCTGGTATGGTGGCAGGCACCTGTGGTCCTAGCTACTCTGGAGGCTGAGGTAGAAGGATTGCCTGAGTGTAGGAGGTCGAGGCTGCAGTGAGCTGAGATCACACCACTGCACTCCAGCCTGGGTGATAGAGTGACACCCTGTCTCAAAAAAGAAAAAAAAAATTGGAAAGATCTGAGATGGTGTTAGTTTCAGTTGCCTGTGCTGCTCTCATTCCCTCTTTAGTACTAACATTCTGGATGTGTGTGTGTGTTGTATTTATTTTTTAGGACAGTTTATTCTGCGTTGTAGCAGCATTTGGCTGTTTCTACTACTGAATGAATCTTTGAAAAGCTGGTAAAAGACATGACCATGAAGAAATCTGAACTTTTTAATATTGTTAAATATCTTGACAAAATAAAGATGTTAGTAGTTTGACAACTGAATCTGTTGTGTTTTAGGCCTTATATTTTTAATGTTTTGATTTTGTTACACTATGTTCTGTTTCTTTCTTTCCTTCCTTCTTTCTTTCCTTCCTTCCTCTCTCTCTCTCTGTCTCTCTCTCTCTCTCCCTCTCTCTCTCTTTCTCTCTTTCTTTCTTTTTTTTTTTGAGACAGAGTCTCTCTCTGTCGCCCAGGCTGGAGTGCAGTGGCACAATCTCGGCCCACTGCAACCTCCGCCTCTTGGGTTCAAGTGATTCTTCTGCCTCAGCCTCCCAAGTAGCTGGGACTACAGGCAAGTGCCACCACGCTTGGCTAATTTTTGTATTTTTACTAGAGACGGGGTTTCACCATATTGGCCAGACTGGTCTCAAACTCCTGACCTCATGATCCATCCATTTCAGCCTCCCAAAGTGTTGGGATTACAGGTGTGAACTACTGCGCCCGGCCCTACTATATTCTTGTTACACTGGAACACAGAGAAAAAAGTAGGGGAAAAGCCATTTCAATTGTTCAAACATAACCAATGGTAAAAATTTTGGTATATTTTCTACCAATGTTTTTTATTTCCAAGGTTTAAAAAACATATAATTTTGTACCCTCATTTTTCATTTCTCATGATGTTATGAACAGTTTTTATGTCATTTTATTTGCATTATGATTTTAAGATGCATGACTTAATAGCGGCATTTATTTCAATAGGTTATACCATATTGTTATTTTTGCCAGTTCCTTATTGAGGGTCTGCTTATTTCTGATTTTTCACTATTATAAAAAATAAAGACATGGCTTTATTTGTGCATAAAGCTTTTTCCTACATCTTTAAAATAACTTTTGAATTTATTTATTTTTATTTTCAGAGAATGGGCCTTGTTCTGTTGCCCAGGCTGGGGCACAGTAGCGGGACTGTAACTTGCTGCAGCCTTGAACTCTTAGGCTCAAGTGATCCTGCCACCTCAGCCTCCTGAGTAGCTGGGACTACAGGCATGCCAACACACATGGCTATTTTTAAAAAATGTTTATTTTTATTTTTTTATTTATTGAGACAGAGTGTTGCTCTGTTGCCCAGGCTGGAGTGCAGTGGTACGATCTCGGCTCACTAACCTCTGCCTTCTGGGTTCAAGAGATTCTCCTGCCTCCCGAGTAGCTGGGATTACAAGCAGGCACCACCATGCCCACCTAATTTTTGTATTTTTTTTTGTACAGATGGGGTTTTGCCACATTGGCCAGGCTGGTCTCAAACTTGTGGCTTCAAGTGATCTGCCTGCCTTGGCCTCCCAAAGTGCTGGAATTACAGGTGTGAGCCACCACACCTGGCCAGTAATTTTATTTTATTTATTTAGTTTTTGAGACAGAGTCTTGCTTTGTCACCCAGGCTGGAGTGCAGTGGCGCCATCTTGGCTCACTGAAACCTCAGCCTCCCAGGTTCAAGAGATTCTCCTGCCTCAGCCTCCCAAGTAGCTGGGATTACAGGCATGCGCCCCCACGCCTGGCTAATTTTGTATTTTTAGTAGAGGCAGGGTTTCACCATGTTGGCCAGGCTGGTCTCGAACTCCTGACCTTGTGATCCGCCCATGTTGCCCTCCCAACAGTAATTTTATTTTTTATAGAGATGAGGCCTTGCTATGTTGCCCAGGCTAGTGTTGAACTCCTGGCCTCAAGTGATCCTCCTGCTTTAGCCTCCCAATATGCTGGGAGTACAGGCATGAAACACCATGCCTGGCTGCTTTTTCCTACATTTTGAATTGTTGCCTTCATCTTTCTCACACAGTGTTTTTGCTCAGCTCTTGCCATCCTATGTCTTACATAGCTTATTAGCCTAAACACCCATCCATTTTCTTTGTCCACAGTGTCAGGGTCTTATGAAATTCATCCTCCCTTAAGACTGAGATTCTGATGTTGGTTACTATCTCAACTCTATTTTTGTAGTGATGTTCCCCTTAGAGGCCGCGGTGTCTTCTCCAGCTAACTGTCCTTATTTGGGGTACCTTAGTCTAACCGCCATGTTCAAAGACATATTTGAAATTCAGGTTTAAATCCTTTTTCCCCCTGGAAACTCCTCAGCAGATGCAGTTATACCCATCCTCTTTCTTCTCAGCCACTTTCAAGTTAAGCATGTAGACCAAGCTTGTCCAAGCCGCGGCCCAGAACAGCTTTGCATGCGGCCCAACACACATTTGTAAACTTCTAAAACACATGAGGTTTTTTTTTTTTTTGCGATTTTTTTTTTTAAGTCATCAGCTATTGTTACTGTTAGTGTACTTTATGTGTGGCCCAAGACAATTCCTCTTCTACCAATGTGCCCCAGGGAAGCCAAAAGATTGGATACCCTTGATGTAGACAAAAAAAGCAAAATAAAATAAAAAAAGCAAAGCAACAACAATAGCAACAAAAAGTTGACTGGGCGCGGTGGCCTGTGATCCCAACACTTCGGGAGGCTGAGGCGGGCAGATCACTTGAGGTCACGAGTTCGAGACCAGCCTGACCATCATGGTGAAACCCCGACTCTACTAAAAATACAAAAATTAGCCGGGCGTGGTGGCGCATGCCTGTAATCCCAGCTACTCGGGATGAGGCACGAGAATCCCTTGAACCCTGGAGGCGGAGGCTGCAGTGAGCTGAGATCGCGCCACTGCACTCCAGCCCGGGCGACAGAGCGAGGCTCCGTCTTTTAAAAAAATAAAAGAATAAGTAAATAAGTTTAAAAGGTCTTTTACTTCAGTCCAGTTGGTAACTAAAAAATAATAATACATTTTTTTTACATCCTTCTTCCATAATATTGTGTAGCCTCTTACATCTACGGAATCAAAAGGGATCCTTCCCAAGGTTCATTCTAGCAAAGGAAAACGTTTCTTTCCACCATACACCCTGCGACACGTGTCTTAATCCACTCCTGCTCAACTGGCTCCCAGTGGATCCCTAGGGATTTTTTTTTTTGGAGCCAACGTGGGTCAGAAAAAGGAAGAGGGTGGGTCAGCCACAGGTTTTCAGCGGACTGGGCTGGCGGTCGCAAATTCCCCTTACTTCCCCACGTAGGTAAAAGCTAACGCTGCGGCGAGGCAGCCGCGGTCGGGGCGTCTCCGCTGAAGGCGCCCGGGCCTCCTGCACGTTGGCTGCCCGGGTGCGGGGGTGCGGGCTGCGGTAGGCGCGGAGGTGCAGCGGTAGGACCTCCGCGCACAGGCCCGCCTGGGCGGACACAGCCCGAGTTGGACACGGGAGCAGCCGGGCAGCGCGTCTTGACGGACCGGCGAGCACTTGGGCCGGTTCACATCCGTATCCCACTTCAAGGAGACGTCTTCGCTGCATCCTCCGGTTCCGGGTGGAGGCTGACCCTGGGCCATTCCGTCTCCGGTCTCTGGTATTTCTGCTGGGTCACTTCATCCCGGGGGCCTCTGAGGAGGCGGAACTACTGTGTCAGGAGTCGTGGTTTTCAAGGAGAAGTCGTGGTCGGATTGACAGAGGTAGGGGAAGTAGGCGGAACTTCCGGCTGGCTCTTCCATCAGCTGCCTTCCCCGGGCGTCTCCCCGCAACCTCCTCAACTTCCCTAGTCAGTGACGCGGCGCCGGCCAGAAATCCGACCGGACCGGGCTCGGGGGAGCGTGAGTTGCAGGTGTGTGCCTATCTTTGCGTCTCTGTTTGAGAGGACAAACTGTGGGGCTGGGACCGCGAGGTGACTGTGACTGAGGAAGAGTGGTAAGTGACAGCGAGGGCAGTGGGAGCCAGGGGCTGGGAGGCTACTGTGACCGAGGGCCAGTGACAGCGAGGGGACTGTGACCCAGGAGCAGTGAATGCGAAACACGGTGACCTCGGAGAGCGCGAGGCCGGGGCTGCGACGGCACTTGGACCGAGGAAGTATGAGGCAGTGACTGCAAGGGACTATGATCAAGGGGCAAGGACTCCAAGGAGACTCTGATCGATTGGTAGTGACTGTGGGGGATCCGGACCTAAGGGAACACGAGCAGCGGCCGCGAGGGGACTCCGACCCAGAGCAGTGACTTCGAGGGGCTGACTTGGAGAAGAGGATGGCATCCGTGATGGGCGATGGCGCTGTAGGGTTGTGTTTGGGCACGGGGTGTGATTGGCCGTGACTGGGCAGAGAAGGTCTTTAGTGGAAAGAACACTGGTCTGGAACTTAACAGGCCTGAGTTTAATTTTTACGGACAAACTTCACCACTGAGTTACAGTTTCTTCATCAGTGAATGGGAAGTTTGGACTAGTTTAATGCCTCCCACACTATGGGTTTCTTCCTAGTATTGAGCTGTGAAACCAATTTAGTGGATGGAACCTGTACTTTTTTTCTTTTTCTTTTTTTGAGACAGTTTCGCTCTTGTTGCCCAGGCTGGAGCGCAGTGGCGCGATCTCAGCTCACCGCAACCTCCGCCTCCCTGGTTCAAGCGATTCTCTTGTCTCAGCCTCCCTAGTAGCTGGGATTACAGGCATGCGCCACCACGCCCGGCTAATTTTTGTATTTTTAGTAGAGATGGGGATTCTCCATGTTGGCCAGGCTGGTCTTGAACTGCTGACCTCAGGTGATCCACCCGCCTAGGCCTCCCAAAATGCTGGGATTACAGTGTGAGCCACCGCGCCTGGCCTGAACCTGTACTTTTCTTTTAAAAAGTGGAATAGAATAGAAACTTTCAGTGTGTTTACATAGTAAGGGTAAGTATTGTTTCATGTGATTTGTTTGAGTTATGTGTGTATGAGATTATGATGTAAAATAGATTTTGTACATCTCAAAGTGTAAGAAGCAAAATGTACTTTAAAAGTTTGAAAAACATTGGACCGGATGATTTCTGAGTTTTCTTTTGGTTCTAAAATGTAATGATTCTATGAATAGGGAACTCTTTGGAAGTACAAAGATGCAATTGGGAACAGGCTGTATTAGCCTGGCCTAACTGGAGGAGGCTTCCTGAATGTAATTGAGGTGACTAGCTGTGAGAGCTGAAACTCGGCATCTCAGTTGGGAGAACCAGAAATTATATTGAAATAGGGACACTGGGCGGGTGTGGTGGCGCATGCCTGGAATCCCAGCTACTGGGGAGGCTGAGGTGGGAGGATTGCTTGAACCCAGGAGGCGGTGGTTGCAGTGAGTTGAGATTGTGAGACTGCACTCCAGCCCGGGTGACAGAGGGAGACTCTGTCTCAAAAAAAAAAAAAAAAAAAGGGACAGTGGTATTTGTGATATTTATAGAGGCAGTGAGGATTTAGGGGTTTGTGGTATGAGAAACTGCTCATGAGGAACGGGAAGCTTTGAGCGTAGGAACAAGGGTTGGGAAGGAAACTCAAGATAGGGGCAGAAAATAATCTGCCAACAATAAAATGGAAGTAGGAAGGCAGATATGACCTCCAGAGCCTATTTATCTTGATATTTAGTGATTTGGCAAGTACAGAGAATTGCTAGTAAAAAGACATTGAGAATGGGATTTAGTGCAGTAATAGCAGTAAACTATGACCATGATGAGAAAGAAAGGGGGACAAAATGATGACACTCGCAGTGTCAATAATGGTGATTGGGATGCCACATGGGAGAGACTTCAATGTACTTAGCTCTCTAATTCAATGATTTGTACACTGAGGCCAAGCCTGGCATGCTAGGAATGATACCACACTATGGGTAATGTAAATGAAGCTTTAGCTGCTGACTTTATTTCCTACACATTCCCTTTCTTTAGGGCTGTGAGTGATGTAGATGAAATTAAAGTGAATGTTACTACTTCCTTCTCTCTTACAGCCCTTTTTATTTTATTTATTTATTTATTTATTTTTGAGACAGAGTCTCACTCTGTTGCCCAGGCTGGAGTGTGCTGGCACGATCCCAGCTCGCTGCAACCTCCGCCTCCTGGTTCAAAGCGATTCTCCTACCTCAGCCTCCTGAATAGCTGGGACTACAGGCATGTGCCACCATGCCTGGCTAATTTTTGTATTTTTAGTAGAGACAGGGTTTCACCACGTTGGCCAGGCTGGTCTCAAACTTCCGAGCTTAGGTGATCTACTAACCTCAGCCTCCCAAAGTGCTGGGATTACAGGTGTGACCACCACGCCTGGCCTTACAGCTCTTTTTAGAAGGTGCTATTGATTGTGCCACCAGTGCTTTTTATAATAGGAGAAGTATGAGGTCATTTAATTTATCGTACAGTGTATTAATCTGATAACCACTCCTGCCCCCTACACTCTGTAATAGGGGAATAGAGTTCAGATAGGTTCTTGAATGGGAATGAGTTGAGAATGGTGGGGGATAGCCTTTTCTTGGCTAAATAAATTGGTTAGTTACACCTTTTTCTAGCACATTAGATGTTTACTTGACTTACATTCTACATAGCTAAAAGGAACTACCCAGGGGTTTCTTCTAGAACAGCATCTATGCTTCAAGGTAACAGACTGTGGAAGAGGCTTGGGATTCAGCAGTACTCCCTCTAGGGTCTTTTTTCTTTGCTGAATGAAATGAATCTTTTTGTAGGACAAAAGATTTGCTTTGCAAATTCCCTTTGAAAACTAGCATGATGGCCTGGTTGATAAAGAATGAGCTTCATTCCCCCTCAGTCTATGACTCTCCTCCCATAAGCAGTGGGGTTTTATTTTCCCTGGGGACCTGCTTTTTGGATATGTGATCCCTTAAGAAGAATGACCTCGTCAGATAGAGCCTGGACTTAGCAGTCCCTGGTGACTTTCTCCGATGTTAACATTTACTCGCCCTGTGACTATGTATGGAAAGCATTATTGCTTTCTCTTGTTGTAGATTTTCTAACCATGGCCAGAGGTAACTCTTCTTATGATTAAACAGCCCTTTAATAATCTGAAATATATGTGAACTTACCAAATTTTGTATGTAATTTCATAGAGTTTGTAAACCATCTGACTCCATTTATAATTCAGAGCTGTCTGGCCTTTAAGTTAGACAGTATTTCCCTAGGGAGCTGAATAACCTCTCCTAGAGATGTTATAAGTGCTGATGAGAATTAGTTTTTGAAATGCTCAAATAAAAAGCATAATTTTCCATTGTTATTAATGATGGATAATAGCAAAATATCTGCTAATAATAGTAGAGTTCTTACTTAAGCATCATGCTTTTCTAAGTATTTACATAACTGATCTGAAGCAGACCTTCTGATTTTTCTACTAATAGAAATTTCCCTTTCTGAATCAAGCAGAAATAGGTCTCCCTTACATCAAAGTTTGTGTTACCTTGAAATAGATTGGAAAGAATACATTTTTGTAAAAGTCATTTTTTTCTTGGATTTGTTTCCAGTTGGAGAAACCCTAAAGTCAGGGCACTTGCCAATTATCACAGGACTGTGAGAGTCCCTTTTTTGCTCAAGATTGTGGCTGGCTGCTTGTACATCTTTGACATTATCACACATCAAGCATATTAGAAAAAGGGGTGACTTGGGAGAGTGAGGGGATCAGCACTTTAGGCCTTGTCAACCCTCCTGCTTATCTGCTTGGCAGCTTCTGGCATCTCCTTTTCCCTAAGTCCTTGAACCTCTTTCCTAAGCGTAAACCTTTCTGTTTTTAGTCCTAAACCTCTCTTTTCACAGTATTCCTGTCAAATGAGTACTTAAACACATGTTTCATCTGTGATTTGTTTTGTTAATTGCTTTGTGGATTATTTGTGGCAGAATTTAAATCCTAATTCCTTTCTACAATTTAGCCAGTAAATTCAAGGAATGTACCTTTTTACGTTTGCAGCATGTGCCGAAGCGCCACCTCAGAAGATAAAAAGAAATGAGTCTCATATTTGGCATTCTTTTAGGTTTGTTACCTACCTTATTCATTAATGTAAATAATTGAATTACCTGTATTTTACCATTCGTAAACCAGGTTAATAGATATATATTAATAGCAGGCTTTCTGTGTGTGTCTTTTCCCTCCTTTCTTTCTATTTATTTATTTATTTATTTTTTGAGACCAAGTCTTGCCTTGTTGCCCAGGCTAGAATGCAGTGGTGCAATCTTAGCTCACTGCAAACTCTGCCTCCTGGGTTCAAGCGATCTCCTGCCTCAGCTGGGATTACAGGTGCCCGCCACCACGCCCAGCTAATTTTTGTATTTTAGTAGAGACGGGGTTTCATCATGTGGGCCAGGCTGGTCTTAAACTCCAGACCTCAAGTGATCCATCCGCCTCGGCCTCCCAAAGTGTTGGGATTACAGGCGTGAGCCACTGTGCCTTGCCCCTTGCTTTCTTTTGGGAATTCTCTTGTACCACAAGTTGAAAGTTATATTAGTTTGAGGCTTTCTATGTTTGGACTAGGATGACTGCCAGTGAGCCAGGGGAACCCATGAATCTGCTAGGCTGTTATATCACATTCACAACTACTTGCAAACCAGTTTTGAAGTGAAGGCTGCCAAAAATAATGACATATGGTCCCTGCTCTATAGAAAATGAGCATATGACCCTTAATAAAAAACAGGTAGTTTTTTTATATACAGAAAATTACCCTAAATGTGATTATGTTTCTTTATTTTTTGACCGTAGAACAGGAATCTTAATCTTTTTTGTGTTATGGACTCCTTTGGCAGTGTGGTGAAAGCTTTTAGAGTTCCTTTTTGGAATATGTTTTTATATGCAAAAATAAAATACATAGAACTATAAAGAAAACCAGTTATATTGAATTATATTGATATATAGTTATCAAAATTTAAGAAGTATGATATGGTATGAAAATATCCATGATTTCTACTGGTAACAAATCCATTTGTCTAATAAGTCTGCTATTACTGCTGTAGCTTATGTTCATCACTGAAGTGAAAATAAAGATACAGTCTTTTTCATCCAAATTCACAGACTTCCTGAATTCTATCATAGACCCTGCCTCAGAGATATGAGTTCCATAACCCACTCTAGGAAGATCACATTCTAAACACAAGAGTTTACTCACCAAATATTCTGGTAGAATAGTGGCAGAGTAAAATTGTTCAACTGTAAGAACTATTACATGTGTCCCTCATGGTTTTTTCTTTCCTGAAATATTCTACTACATGTCCAGGCCGAAGAAGTATAAGCTTTATTATGTGTGCCAGTGGCTAACCCAGGGTCTGGCACAGAGTAAGTGCCGCTCAGTGTTTGTTGAATAAGGGTTTCTCTGACGAAATTAGAGGGAAGAGATCCAGTTCAAAGCTAAGGTCTTAAATGTGACAGTTTATAGGGCTCATGACAAGTAACGTTGAACTTTAGTTTAGAACTAATCTGTCAGAGAAGCTCATGTTTTGAAATTCACTTTTACATTTATAAGTTCTCAGCCTGGTGTGATAGTTCATACCTATAATCCCAGCACTTTGGGAGGCTGAGGTGGGAGGATTGCTTGAGGCCAGGAGTTTGAGACCAACCTGGGCAGCAAAGTGAGACCCCCATCTCTACAAAAAATTAGCTGGGTGTAGTGGCATGTGCCTGTAGTCCTAGCTACTTGGGAGGGTGAGGCAGGAGGATCACTTAAGCCCAGCAGTTCGAGGCTGCAGTGAGCCATGATTGCACCACTGTACTCGAAATAATTCTATTTCTAACACTGTTTTTCACTTTAGATTGGGTAAATTTAGGTAGAATTTGCCACCAAATTATTAATAAAGCTGGTCCTGATTTCATCTAGGATGAGAGGTAGCAAACTTTTTCAGTAACGGGCCAGATTGTAAATAGTTTAGGGTTTGCAGGTCACACAGTATCTGTGACTACTCAGCTCTGCTGTTGTAGCACAAAAGCAGCCATGGACAATAAACACATCAGTGAGTGAACATGGCTGTGTTCTGATCGAATTTTAATTACAAAAACAGGTAGTGGGCCATCTTTGGCCAGCTAGCTGTAGTTTGCTGACCCCTGATCTAGATTTTCTGGTTCTTGAGTCCAGCTCTTTTCCCTACTTTCGCTTAGCCATATACTCCTTCAAGCTTCAAAGGCCTTTACATAGGGGGCAATGTCCTTACACTGTTATCTCCAGAAAGACCTGAGTGTACAGCAAGATGATAGGATTAATGAATGCCAGGAATATTAGATGCACTTTAACCCTTGAGTTTCCAGAGCTTGCCTCTTAGAGCACCAGCTCATTAAGCACCACCACGGTAGAAGCAGAGAAACATCCCAAATGTAAAGTCTGCTTGCGCACTCGGCTTTGGAACTGGGCATTGATATGCTGATAGAAAAATACTGGGCATTGGGTTTTAGTGGGGAAGATAATGTAGGCCTAGAGATGGGGAAGGCAGGAATAGAGTGCAAAGGAAAAATTATGCCTCATCTTTTTGCAAATAGTTCCTTGTAGTAATTGGTCAAGTTTGAGTTAGATTTTTGAAATGTGGAATAGCATATGTAATTGCAACTTGCTACTACAAGAGCTCACCCTTAGTCGCAGTTTTACTTTCCGTGGTTTCAGTTACCCACAGTCAGCCACGGTCAGAAAATAGGTGAGTATGATGTAGTAAGATATTTTGAGAGTGAGAGAGAACAGCCACATTCAGATAACATTTATTACAGTATATTGTTATAATTGTTTTATTATTAGTTATTCCTGTTAATCTCTTACTGTGCTTAATTTATAAATAAAACTTTATCATAGCTCTGTGTATATAGGGAGAAAACAAAGTAGAGTCAGCCCTTCGTGGCCATGGGCTCCACATCCGCAGATTCAGCCAAACTTGGATCGAAAATATTCAGAAAAAAAAAAAAAAAAAAACAATAAAAATACCAATACAACAATAAAAAACAGTACAAATAAAAAACCAATATTGTATAATAACTGGTTACATAGTATTTACATTGTATTAGGTGTTGTAAGTAATGTAGAGAAGATTGAAAGTATATAGGGGGTATAGATTATATGCAAATTCGACACCGTTTTATATATATAAGGGACTTTTGAGCATCTGTGGATTTTGGCATCTGCAGGAGATCCTGGAACCAGTGCCCTGCAGATTCTGAGGGACAACTGTCCATATAGGGTCCATACTCTCTAGGGGTTCAGGCATCTGCTGGCGTCTTGAAACATTTCCCCTGTGGATAAGAGAGGACTCTGCTATATTTAGATTGTTACATAGTTCAGGAAGCAAAGTCCAACTCCTCTTTCCCTTGGTAGGTCTGTTTGCAATAAGGAAGTTGAATAGAAAGGATTGGATAGGCCGGGTGCGGTGGCTCACGCCTGTAATCCCAGCACTTTGGGAGACTGAGGCGGGCAGATCACCTGAGGTCAGGAGTTCAAGACCAGCCTCAACATGGAGAAACCCCATCTCTACTAAAAATACAAAATTAGCCAGGCGTGGTGGTGCATGCCTGTAATCCCAGCTACTCGGGAGGCTGAGGCAGGAGAATTGCTTGAACCCGGGAGGTGGAGGTTGTGGTGAGCTGAGATCGTGCCATTGTACTCCAGCCTGGGCAACAGGAGTGAAACTCTGTCTCAAAAAAAAAAAAAAAAAAAAAAAAAGAAAGGACTGGATAGGAGTCCCTAAAACTACTTGTAGGAGCCTATCATCTTTCAGACTCAAGCATAGACATGCCAGCACCTAGATTCTGTCTCCTTCAGGACATTCACATTGGAAAAATATGACTAGCTGTATCCTTAGTGTCTCCTCAGTGCCACCCCTCCCTCCACAAACACATCTTCCACTTGTCTAGCAAAGCTGATGTGCCTCAGCAGGCATGTGTTGGAACGTGGAGGAACAAGGCAAGCAGTGTGTACTGGTAGGTGAGTCAGCAGAAACCAAACCAGGTCTTTGTGAGTCGGAGTAAAAATCACAGGCACAGATACTGCATTCTGTATTTCGAGGGCACTTTGGAGACACTAATGTACTTAGCAGGCAGGGTGTTGGGGGATGGGTTTTTATGTCCATATTTAGAGTCTGTGCTCAAATTTCAGTGATTAAGATAAGGTGACTTATCTAGGGAGTGAATAGGCAGCAGTTGGAAAGATCAGGTCTTAACAATTGCTGTATTCTGGCTGTCAGCCCTTTTTTTTTTTTTTTTTGATAGAGTTTCACTCTTGTCACCCAGGTTGGAGTGCAGTGGTATGATCATGGCTCACTGCAGCCTCCGTCTCTTGGGTTCAAATGATTCTCCTGCCTCAGTCTCCTGGGTAGCTGGGATTACAGGCACCTGCCACCACGCCCAGCTTATTTTTGTAGTTTTAGTAGAGACCGGGCTTCACCATGTTGGCCAGGCTGGTCTCGAACTCCTGACCTCAGGTGATCCTCCCGCCTTGGCCTCTCAAAGTGTTGGGATTACAAGTGTGAGCCACCACACCTGGCCTAGCTTTTTTTTTTTTTTTTTTTTTGAGATGAGGTCTTGCTCTGTCACCCAGGCGGGAGTACAGTGGAACGATCTTGGCTCACTGCAACCTCTGCATCCTGGGTTCAAGCGATTCTGCCACCACAGACTCCCAAGTAGCTGGGACTACAAGCATGTGCCACCACTCCTGGCTAATTATTTGTCTTTTTAGTAGAGATGGGGTTTCGCCATGTTGGCCAGGCTGGTCTTGAACTCCTGGGCTCAAGCAATCCATCCGCCTTGGTCTCCCAAAGTGCTGGGATTATAGGCATGAGCCACTGTACTGGGCTGTTATAGCCTTTTTGACAAAGAAAGTGTTCTGGAGGATGAACCACTAAACAAACAGGAAGTGTTGGCCCATCCTAGTAGGGCTCTTGAGGGAGGTTCTCTATTCTATCTCCAAATACTTTTCTTCCTGTCTCATTCCTAAGGGTCAGTCTGCAGGGCATTGAGTAATGCACTGCCCCATGTTCGCCTCCTACTGTATTGGCTCTGAGGAGGCGCGATCATTTCCCAGTCCCATTGCCCGCTGGACAAACAGGGATATTAAGGCAGCCTGTGTGTGTGCGTGTATTTTTTTTCCCCTTTGAATGTAGATATTTAAAGCCACCTCCTTTTCCAGAGCCATCACTGTACCTTACTTGAATGGTATTGGTTGATGACAGAGGCGCACTTATCATAAACTGAGAGTCCAAGAAATATTGTTCCTCATTGTTGGAGGTATTCCAAATGGTTACTGGGCAGTTATCGATGTTGTAATGGTGGTGTGGCTTTAGGTACACCTAAGTTTCAGTGTAACAAATTAAGAAGCCAACACGATGTTAGGATGTATTTACTGTCTTCAGTACGCCCTCATCCTCCCACACACCTTTTCTCTACACTTTCTCAGTAGCAAAGGTGATGTGTCCGGGCAAGCATCTATTGGAACATGAGGGAGACTGGGGGTACCTTTTTCCATGATTTTAAACATCAGTTATTATTCTGTATGCTTTGGTGCTGCGGTTATAAGTTAGTAGATGTGAGAGAACATTGGGATGGCATAAGAAGGCCGGGAAAAAATGAAAAAAACTTGTGAGACCTACAGAGTAAAAGTTTATTATTGTTATTATTATTTTGAGACAAAGTCTCGCTCTGTCGCCCAGGCTGGAGCGCAGTGGCGTGCGATTTAGGCTCACTGCAACCTCCACCTCCAGGGATCAAGTGATCCTCCTGCCTTAGCCTCCCAAGTAGCTGGGATTACAGGTGCATGCCACCACGCTCAGCTAATTTTTGTATTTTTAGTAGAGATGGGGTTTCACCATGTTGGCCAGGCTGGTTGCGAACTCCTGACCTCATGTGATCCACCCACCTTGGTCTCCCAAAGTGCTGGGATTACAGGCATGAGCCACCGCGCCCAGCCCAGAGTAAAAGTTTAAACAGCAGTAGTTCTAGAGGAAAGTCATGAGGAGTAATCTTTGCATAATTTCTAAATTCTTTTAGGGTTATCATTATGGAATATCTGTGACCCAGATGTTTTCCATCTCCTGAGAAGTGGATGAGATAAAGAAGTGTCTTACACTAAAACCCAAAAAGCAGTGGGTGTGTTTTATTTTAAATCCGAAGGATCTAAAGACTTCAGTTTAAAGAACAGTGTAGAATATAATGTAAAACCCAAAAGTCATCTTTAGAAAATAGAAGAACTGTATGTAAGCAGATAAGGAATAGTATAAACACATAATAGTGTAAGCAGGTAAAGAAAAAAATATATATATTTTTTTGAAATGGAGTCTCACTCTTGTCACCCAGGCTGGAGTGCAATGGCATGATCTTGGCTCACTGCAACCTCTGCCTCCTGGGTTTAAGCAATTCTCCTGCCTCAGCCTCCCAAGTAGCTGGGATTACAGGTGCCCGCCACCACACCTGGCTAATTTTTATATTTTTAGTAGAAACGGGGTTTCACCATGTTGGCCAGGCTGGTCTTGAACTCCAGACCTCAGGTGATTCGCCTGCCTTGGCCTCTCAAAGTGCCAGGATTACAGGCATGAACCACTGCATGTGGCCTTTTTTTTTTTTGAGAAAGGGTCTCACTTTGCTGTCCAGGCTGGAGTGTAGTGGCATGATCATGGCTCAGTGCAGCCTTGACTTGCTGTTCTCAAGTAGTCCTCCCACCTCGGCCTCCCGAGTAGCTGGGACTACAGGCATGTGCCACTACACCTGGTCAATTTTTCGTAACTGCAAATATCCTATTCCTCAGCAAACTTTCACCCCATGGTTTTAGAATCCTGTAGAGCATTTTTATATCATAAGCATTTTTGAGGTGGAGCTCTGTGTGTGTTTTCCATGCCTTAATTGAAGCTTCCTTGAGAAAATAGTTTGTACTTAATTTTTTTTTTTTTTTCATTTTTTGAGACGGAGTCTCACTCTGTTGCCCAGGCTGGAGTGCAGTGGTGCGATCTCGGCTGACTGCAACCTTTGCCTCCCAGATTCAAGTGATCCTCCCGCCTCAGTCTCCTGAGTAGCTGGGATTACAGGAATGCACCACCAAGTCTGGCTAATTTTTGTATTTTTGTAGAGATGGAGTTTCACCATGTTGCACAGGCTGGTCTCAAACTCCTGACCTGAGGTGAGCTGCCCACCTCAGCCTCCCAAAGTGCTGGGATTGCAGGCGTGAGCCATTGTGCCTGGCCTTTAATTTTTTAAATTGATAAATAATAGTTGTTTATATTTATGGGATACAATGTGATACTTCGATATATGTTTACATGTGGAATGATTAAATCAAGCTAATTAACAAATTCCTTGCCTTATATACTTATTTTTTTGTGGTGAAAACATTTAAAATCTACTCTTTTAGCAATTTTGAAATATAAAATGCATTATTATTTATTTTGTTTTGGTTTTTTTTTTTTTTGGAGACGGAGTCTCACTCTGGCGCCCAGACTGGAGTGCAGTGGCACGATCTCGGCTCACTGCAAGCTCTGCCTCCCGGGTTCACACCATTCTCCTGCCTCAGCCTCCCCAGCAGCTGGGACTACAGGTGCCCGCCACCACGCCTGGCTAATTTTTTGTATTTTTAGTAGAGACAGGGTTTCACTGTGTTAGCCAGGATGTTCTCAATCTCCTGACCTTGTGATCCGCCTGCCTTGGCGTCCCAAAGTGCTGGGATTACAGGTGTGAGCCACCGTGCCTGGCTGCATTATTATTTATTATAGTCACCATTCTGTGCAATAGATCACTAAAGCTTATTTCTCCATTCTTTTTTTTTTTCTTTTTTGTTGAGACAGAGTCTTACTCTGTTGCCAGGCTGGAGTGCAGTGGTGCGATCTCAGCTCACTGCAACCTCTGTCTCCTGGGTTCAAGGGATTCTTCTGCCTCAGCCTCCCGAGTAGCTGGGATTACAGATATGCGCCACCACACCCAGCTATTTTTTGTACTTTTAGTAGAGATGGGGTTTCACCATGTTGGCCAGGATGGTCTCGATCTCTTGACCTCGTGATCCACCCGCCTCAGCCTCCCAAAGGCTGAGATTACAGGCGTGAGCCACTGTGCCCAGCCTGTTTCTCCTTTCAAAACTGAATTTTTGTACTCGACATCTCCCTTTTTGCTCTCCACCCTCTTCTGTCCATCTCTTGTAACCACCATTCCATTCTGTACTTCTGTGAGTTCCACTCTTTTAGATTCCACAAATAAGTGAGGTCATTTGTGGTATTTGTCTTTCTCGTCTGGCTTATTTCACTTAGCATAATGTCCTCCAGGTTCAGTTTGTACTTAAAAATTATGATACAGTACTTTGTAAGCAGTAAGTACTCATATTTTTGACTGCCTGATATTATTGACTTGCCAGATGCCAAATTGCTGATTATATTTCTCATAGTGGATTTTGTCTCTCTACACTTAGAAGAATTGAGCAGATACTTACAGAAGAGTACTGTGCAAATTAGAAAACAATCATTAATTGGATGGATTAGGCATTTTGAGTAGTTCACTCAGACCACTGAGATGAGAGTATTGACCTCTGAATATTATGAAGGAATCATTAAGAACAATAGTGAAGACAAGCTCTGATCATCATCACTGAAAGAACTCGGAGTGAAATGTATAGAACCCTTCTTCCATTTTAATTTGCATTTGTGATGAAAGGAAGTTTCTAGGTGGTGCTCATCTTTCACTTTCGACTCTGACATTTTTTCATGTTGGCCATGACTCATGGGGTGTCACCTTCAGCTTCTAAGAATTAGGCCAGTTTCTTGTAGATCTTGTCATATTGCCACTCGGAGTTGAGCCGGAGGAAAGAAAGTAAGGCACAGTTGCAGTTGTTTAGACGAACATCTCAGTCAGGCTTATGAGAGGCAGTAGGGCAGAGCAGACTGTCCTCATTCTGTCTGGCATTGGTTTTCCACCTGTTCTGAAGATTTTTCTCTGAACCGTATCTTGTGCAGAGATGACAGTTTATCATAGAGTTTCCCCTACCCCCAATTTCTGGCTGATTCCTAAAATTTCATCAGTATCAAGAAAGTAATTTATTTGTACAAATTGTGTTACTTAAGAAAAACGCAACTATCCCTGCAGGGGGCTGAAAAGCCAACATCTAAATGATGGCAGCGGTGGCCTGTCTGGATGGGCTGCTGCCATGATGCCGGCTGCAGTCGGGGAGGCATGGTCTGTGCTGCACGCTCCATGGAGCCACTGGGAGCTGGGAGTAGGTGGAAGCCCTGCCCGTTTCCAAGTTGGCAGGGCGGGAGCAGCCGTGGCTACATACCCGGGCTTCCCTGTGCTTTTGGGGGCCCAGGAACCTCCCCTGCCCCTGCAGGCTTGAAGTGCCTGCTCCCACTGCCTGGCCTCTCCTTGCTCCTGGTGCCTGCTCTGATTTTGGAGCAAAGTTGAGGCCAAGCCTGGGCACTGTCATGACCTGGCTGGGTTTGCGTGTGCTAGGGGCAGTGCTGACATGCCAGCCCCCTTCTGCCTTGGCCCCCTCTGGATTTTGGGTGTCCAGCAGCACAGGAGGGGACGCCAAGGCGGAGCTGAGAGCAGCTCCATTCAGGCCTGCAGGCGCCCCTTCGTGAATAGCCTGGGCGCTGTGGACAGCAGGTTGATGACAGCAGGAGGCAGACAGGCTCCTAGGCGGAAATGGGCGGGTCCCTGGTGAAGCCCCACCTTCAAGCCAGGGATGGCCTGAAGCCTGGGGCCCAGGCTGCCAGTTCTGTGGACTGGAATGAGAACTTACGATGCTTTTTCCGGGCTGCCTGTGGCTGCCCATGGACCAATCAGCATGCACTTCCTGCCCGCTGAAGCCCGTAGAAACCCTGGACTCAGCCATACTTGATGGGATGACCTGCCTGCGGATAGGAGCTTCCCACTCCAGGTCTCCTCTCCACTGAGGGCTGCAGAGACGTCAGGATGACCTGCCTGCAGATAGGAGCTATCCACTCTGGGTCTCCTCTCCGCTGAGGGCTGCACAGATGCTGGGACGACCTGCTGCGGAAAGGAGCTACCCGCTTGGGGTCTCCTGAGGGCTGTTGTGTTGCTCAATAAAGCACCTCTTCACCTTGCTCGTCCTCCAGTTGTCCATATACCTCATTCTTCCTGGACGTGGGACAAGAACTCGGGATCTGCCAAATGGTGGGACTGAAAGAGCTGAAACACAAACAGAGCCGAAACACGTCCTCCCCTCCCCCACTGCTTGCCACGCTGTGGGCAACAGAAAGAGAGAAGAGAGGAGAGAGAAAGAGAAGAGCTGTAGCCCTTTGGGAAGCCCAGACCTAGGAGCTCCTTGAGCCAGGGCTGTGACACCCTCTTTGGAGCTCTGTGGTTCCTGGCCTCTCCAAGCTTCTGGGCAGCACCATGTTCCCCAGTGCCTGCAGTGGAAGCTGCTTGTAGTACGCCTGGTTCAGCTGCAGCCTCTCAGGGAGCTGGCGCCTCGAGCTGCTCACCCCCTGGCAGCTGGCGTGCCTGGCTGTGCGCAGTGGCCGGACCCTGTGCTGGCTCGCCTGTGCACCTCTTGCCGCTCCGTGCCTGGCTTGTCCTTGGCATGCATGGAATCTGTGCTGGTAACACAAGCTGAGCATAGCCTACCAGGCTGAGTGGACGGAACGAGCCCGGCGGGCCTGAGCAAAACTCAGGCAAAGGTGCCACTGGCCACAGAGGTTTCTGGCTAGCGAAGTGACACCCCAAGTATTCTGTGACTTAAACATGAAATACAGAATATTCAGAACTTTGCTGTAATAGCTAGTTGCTAGAAACTCTCTGCTAAATGAGACAATAATAAATAAGTTCCTTTGGGGGAAGGAGAATCCCTGAGGGGGTTTTAATAGCTGGAAACTGTGAACAAGCTTGAGGTGTTAAGACCCTGAAAGAGGAAAGGGAAATGAGTACTGAGAAAAGAAGGGGAAGGGCCAGGTGCAGTGGTTCACACCTGTAATTCCAGCACTTTGGGAGGTCGAGGT